>NC_000012.12:31054723-31207418 GCF_000001405.40 Homo sapiens
CCTCCTCTTCCCTCAGCAAGTAAGGCATCACGCATGCACATATGCACACGTGCACAAACACATGAACTTGTGTACACACACACAGGCACACACACACATGAACATGCATGCAATTTCTGTGGCCTCATTTTCTTGTGATGGCTGATGAAGCCATGACGCCATGGAAGTGTTAAGATTAGGGAGAGGGTTCCATGTGGGAGGATGTCTGGTGTGGATCCAAGGAGATCTGAGTCCTGACTCCAATTCACTTACCCTCTGGCCCAAGTCACTTAGCCCACCCCATGCCTCAGTTTCTCTTTCTATGAAATAGGAGTGACATATGCCCTGCCTGACTCAGAGGCCTGTTGTGAGTTACAAATAAAGCAACAGATAAGACGGCGCTTTGAGACTGGGAAAAGTCAGCTTTGACCTAAGGGTCCTGGGCTGTGCCATAAAGGGCAGGGTGGGCCTGTGAGGAGGCCTACCTGTGAGGGCCTGCCCTCCCACCCCTACCTGCAATAGCTGAGCCTTTGGGCATTAGTTTGGCACAGCTGAGATGTCTGTGGCATCCTATTTTGATGGTGCCCTTGATTCTGACACAAGCTCCCTGCAGTAAAGGCACAGAAAGGAAACCTCACCTAGGAGGGTTTGCTCTCCCAAGCAGAGGGCAGTGAGCCGGAGTCCCTACTGAGCCTGAATCCTTCCTGAACTCCAGACCTGCCTGTACCAGAACATGTCTTTCCCTATGGGGACACAGTCCTCTGCTCACTGGGTCCTGTCTTCTTCAGCTCTGAGCCATGAGCTCTTCCTTTTCCTGTTTGTGCTCAGCTCAGTGCCTCTCTCCATCTTTATCCTCAGACCCCAGAAGGCATTAAGGGAAGATCCCAGTCCATCTTCTTGGAGCTGAGAGCTGGATCAGTGCCCCTGGCTTTGAGGCAGGGTAGGGGCAGTTCTCTCTCAGGGAGGCCTGCAGATCGCCACCTGCCCCACGGTGGGAAGGAAAGATGACAGGTGGGAGCTCCAGGTGGATTGGGAGGGGAGGGAGATGGAGTGGGCTTTGGCAAGGCATGGGGGGATAAGCTTGAGATGCAGAGTGGCAGCAGGCAGGCAACAACATTTCTGGAGACCACCAGGCACAGGACATGCTGGCCTGTCCTCAGGACAAGCAATGCCAGGGCCTGAGCTGCCCTTACCCTTCAGGACGAGGCCTGGGAACTGGAATGTGGGCTATGCTTTTCTTCACCAAACTGAAGCTTGGCACCCTGAGTGTTGTTTGTACCAACTGCAGTAGGCAGACGGGGAACCAACACTTCATGAGCACTGACTGTGTGCTGTGCACTGTATTGCGTGCTTTCTGTTTGTTTGTTTCATGGAGAGATGTATCTCTGGGGAGAGGGAAATCCCCTGAGAATCCCCCCTCTCCTCTAAAGCCCCCGCCACCCCAGGTTCTCTAAAAATCCCTCTCCCCTTATGTCACAGAGAATAAAGCTTCACAGGAAAATGCCCTTAGAAAGGGGGATTTAATTCACTCTGAGATGCTAAAGATGGCCACGGAGACCTCCTTAAGCAGAGGCTTTCAGGAGACCGACAGAGAAGAAGGCAGTGCAGGGACCCAGCGTGTCCTCAACTTTGGCTAAATAAACCTGTAATCGATTGAAACATGTCGCAGTCACTTTTTGGTTAACAAGGTCAACGGAGGCACAAGCACCAAAGTCCACCTGAAGAAGTTGGGTCTATCTACGAACCACTTGTGAGTCACTGTGAATATTTAGAACCGGGGGCTAAAGCTTATTCCAGTTGTCTGTCTGGATGTCAGTGAGGCCACTCCATAGTAGATTCTCCCACCTTTGGTTTAATGGGATGGACAACTTTGGATTAGGACTAAGGAGGTAGATTTGATCTTGGAAGATACCTTAGGCTTCTTGTCTCTTATCTCCCTAGGAAACTGTTGGCTGTCAGTATCTATACTAGGGGTAAGCCCAAGTGACAGAACAGTTCTGGAAGCATCTCCTTGAGTTTTCAGGAAAGGTTTCACTGACACAAGAAGAGAGTAGGGTGGCAGAGCAGCATCGGGTTTGGTTTTCAATTCCCTTTTCTATCTCCACACGTGTTGGGTGAAATTCACAGGGTTGCCACACTCTCGTGGGTATATTTGGATTACGGATGAGAGCATAGGAAGGTGGGCTGTGGGATACATACAGTGGAGTGCTGCTGACTATAGCCCCCGTCATGTAAGAAAGCACGTCAGATTGCCATAGAACAAGTTATGCTATTGTTGGAATAACTGAAGTTCATTCTAATTTAGTTTTTAAAATCATTCTGAAACTTTGTCCCCCCTACCGCATAGTAGTTGAAGGGTACTCCGTTTTCCCTTTTTCTGTCCTAACCAAGAAACAGAGCGTGCCTCAACTGTTCTGTGACCCCATCAGCTGCACAATTTGCCCGGCAGGCTGGAACCCAAGGTTACGCTTTGAACACTCCCAGGCACCTACAAAGGTGTTTAGGTTGTTGCCCCAAACACTGAGAGGAACTGGCCAGGCCCTGAGCCAAATGCCTTAATCTCTCACCAACTCCATTCCCTGATCCTCATGCTGCAGACCTCACTAGGTAGAGCACCTCTTTCCCTAACTGCCTATCTGGAGGAAATGGTGAAACCCAGTTTCTACCTAAGTTCTCATAATAAATGCTTTGATCTGATCACCCTGGCGTCTAGTGCTTCTTTCTTTGGGATTCCAACTGGTCCCATCTTGGGATGGCTTGGGGTACTCCCTTGTGGGAACTCCCCTGATGCCAGCAGTGGCACCCCAGATGCCACTGCTGAGGTGACTCCAGCTGTGAATTCACTGGAAAAGAACACAGGTATTCCTGATTAGTTCTTTATGCTCCCTCAAAGGTCAGAGCTCAATTTCCTTGCACCTGATTTCTCATCCACAAAATGGTATTTATAACACCTCTGTGGAACTGTCCTCCAATACCCTTCTTCCTTTTTAAAAAACCATGCATTTGGCCACCTGGAATGGAGAACATGTTTTCCACCCCCCTTGCAGCTAGGTGTGGCCACGTAACTAAGTTCTGACCAAGCAGTGGAAGGTAGAGTCCCATATGGCACTTTCAAGAAGTATTCTTAAAGAGCAAGGGCACATGCATTTCTATCCTGCCTGTCTTCTTCGTGACTAGAATGAAACACGATGCCTGGGGCTAAACAGTGATCTTAAACCATCAGGAGGAAGTGATATATTAAAAGGCGGAAGAGCCAAAAGATAGAAAGAACCTAGATCACTTATGCTAGCAGAGCTATTCATCATTTTGCACAGTTTACCTTCAGACTTTGTTCATAAGGGGGCAAGGGAGTGTGAGTTTTCTATCACAGGCAAACCCAATCCTGAGGGATTGACTTAATCTATCAACATTGCTGTGAGGATTTAAGGAGATAATATAAAATCCTTAGCAGTTTTTCTGGCATGAAGTCAGAGGGCAACTTTTTCTTTTTTCTCAAAAGTAATGAAATATTAAGGCTATTGAAACTTGGTTCTGAGAACACTGAAAGATATGGAAAGACCATAGAACCTGTTTCCACATTGGCCAGAATGGACTGACATTACATCTTTGAAGTCGGTCATAATCAGAATGTTTTTCACTGCTTCTAAATTGTATGCACTATTGGATAAAACTGGAACAGTACATGGCCAGGCACAGTGGCTCATGCCTGTAATCCCAGCACTCTGGGAGGCCAAGGCAGGCGGATCACGAGGTCAGGAGATCGAGACCATCCTGGCTAACACAGTGAAACCCTGTTTCTACTAAAAATACAAAAAAAAAATGAGCCGGGCATGATGGCGGGTGCCTGTAGTCCCAGCTACTCGGGAGGCTGAGGTAAAAGAATGGCGTGAACCCAGGAGGCAGAGCTTGCAGTGAGCAGAGATCACGCCACTGCACTCCAGCCTGGGCAACAGAGAGAGACTCTGAATCAAAAAAAAAAAAAAAACCAAAAAAACAAAAAACTATAACAGTACTGACTCCATGTTAGAGAAAAGCTTGTTTGCTTGAATACAGTTATTGCTTTTCCTGAGACTGTAGATTATTCATTAAAAACAGCCTCAGAAATACAGGATCTTCAGCAGACATAAAAGAAAAAACACTGACAAACAACTCTGGGAATGGGCTAAGTGGCTTGATAAGAATAGCCTGATGGTACCTGCAGAAGGTCATACAACATTGACCAAGAAAACAGTGATTGCCTGCCTGCCTGCCTGAGACTTCACATGTTTCATAAGAATGCTCTGATCAGCCAGGTACAGTGGTTCAGACTGGTATTCCTAGCACTTCACGAAGCTGAGGTAGGAGGATTGCTGGAGGCCAGGAGGATGAAACCAGCCTGTGCAGAAAAGCGAGACCCTGCCTATACACAAACAAAAATAATAATAATAATAAATAATAATAATAGCTAGGTATGGTGGTGCATGCCTGTCATCTTATCTACTCAGGAGGATCACTTGAGTCCAGGAGGTCAAGGCTGCACTGAGCCAAGATAACATCACTGCACTCCAGCCTGGGTGACAAAGTGAGACCCTGTGTCTAAAAAGAGAGAGAGAAAAAAAGCTAAGGCTATTTTCAGGTTAGGTCAGGCTTAGTAACAAAAACTTTTTGTGAAATGCTTCGATCATTGTTTGCCCTGCTCCTAATTTCCCTTAAAACCTCCCGGATCAGACAGGTGGTCTTTGAAGATGAGTTCACAGCCTCCCTCGAGTTTTTGGCTTCCTGAATGTAGCTAACTTTCCCTTTCACCAACATTTGTCTCTAGACTTTTGGCTTTCAAGCAACAAGTGGCCTAGATCTGGGTTTGGTTACAAATTTTGGCAAGCCCAGCCAGAAGCCGTGTGCTCTGGGCTGTTTGCACCCTGTCAGCTCCCAACAGACAAAGCAATTGGTCACAGCTTCATACCAGGACTAACTCATCCATATTGTTGGGAGGACTTCTTGGTTCCCAAGAGGTGGAGCAATTGATGGCGGCAGCAGGTCAGGGCTAACTCATTCACATTACCAGAGGTTAGCGGCAAATGCTCTGTGGCACTGGCTACTCATGGCAGAAGGGAACTGCAGAGACAGCCCCAAAGTCTGCCAAAGAGAGGCTGCCAAAACTCTTTCTACTTCAGGGAAACTTCCTCCTTTCCCCCATTCAGTACTGACTGCCTACTTTTGCTTTTAGTTGGTGAAAGGAAACTAGCTTTATTTTTTTTATTTTAATTTTTTTTGAGATGGAGTCTCGCTCTGTCACCCAAGCTGGTGTGCAGGGGCGCAATCTCGGCTCACTGCAAGCTCTGCCTCCTGGGTTCATGCCATTCTCCTGCCTCAGCATCCTAGGAGTAGCTGGGACTACAGGCGCCCGCCACCATGCCCGGCTAATTTTTGTATTTTCAGTAGAGACGGGGTTTCACCTTGTTAGCCAGGATGGTCTCCATCTCCTGACCTCGTGATCCGCCCGCCTTGGCCTCCCAAAGTGCTGGGAAACTAGCTTTTTGGATGAGCTGATGAGCTGTACAACCAGGTAAGTCTACTGGGGTGCAAAGTAGTAGTCCACTTTCTTTACCATTTGGGCCTTTGGACCATTTGTGGTACCACTGGTAGAAGAAATGACTCATAGTGACTCCATACCAGTCTCTTCCTTTGTGAAAGCCTGGGTTGGAAAAGTGCTTCATTTGTTTTGGTTGTGTTTTGTTTGTGTCCACCATGGGAAGTTTTTTTCATCAGTCCCCTCTCAGAGCCCACTGTGGTTCATATTGGCTGACTGGTAAGCCTACAGTGATAACCCTACGACAAAAAAGATAATCTACTGCAATAAGGTGTGGTCAATGTACGTGATACATGAGGAAGATAGGTGGCCATTACATGGTTCTTTGAATTTAATGTTATACAGCTTGAACATTTCAATCTGAGATCAGGAAATTGGGACTGCATACCTTATATTCAAGCTTTTATGTTGGTACATAATAAGCACGCTTCCCAGAAAGGTTGCTGGCTGATGGTGCAAACAGGACCATATCAGGTAAAATCTCCTCACTCTCCATTACCTGAGGAGGAAAAGAAGGAGATAGGATAATCTTGTCAACTATAAACCCTCCACAGGCAAATGATGCTGAGGCTTTGCAGGTGCCTGTCCCATTGCAGCCTGCTCTGGCACCTGTGCAGGCTCCCATGGAGGCCCCAGCTGCAGTACCAGCACAGTACCCTGAGTTGCCCCATCTCTGCCCCCTCCACCAGAGGATTATCCAGATAATACAGACTTACAGGGTGTGGTGGCCCCTCCTCATTTTAAAGGTAGCCAAGAAATAGGCTCCCCTTTTAAGACCTGACAAGGCAACTAAATTTGACCACAGCGTACACCCTCATGCGGCAGAACAATTTCTGTTATGCAAATTCCCCGCTGGAGGATTAAATGCACAGGGCCATACTCCTGGGCTATTTTGGTTATTCACCATTTTCTATCTTTGACTAAGTAAATGGAAAAATATTCAAGTCCATCCTATAGGGATGATCCATAGGAGATGACTGAAATATTCACCAGTATTTTTTCTATTCATCATTCCACAATAGCAGGTGTACAAGCATTATTAAATTTTATGATGAAAGGGGGTTATTTTTAGACAAGACTAATGATGGAGCCAGAAGGCTATACCAGGAAGACCCTGCTGGGTCCTCCAACATCCCAGAGGCAATTTCCTTAGTGAAACGCAAATGAAACCTTAATAATGAGGTTATATCTTGACTGTAGGATTACTCCTAAGAAAGGGAGTACCTAAGCAGCAAAGCCTCAATAAAAAACATCCATGACCTCTGGTAGGAGGCCAGTGAAAACCCAGCAGCTTGGTTGAAACAAGTGTAACAGGCTTACAGAAAATATTCAGATATTGATCCAGAGGCTCTGGAACATGTTTGGGTCATAAATATAACTTTCATCAGCCAAAGTGCTTCTGACATTAACAGAAAATTAGAAAAGCAGGAAGGGACTGTTGGAATGAACCCTTCCCAGTTTACAGATATTGCTTACAAAGACTTCAATGCTAGAGAAACAAGAAAAGCTAGACAGGCAACCATTTTCATGGAGACTGTTCAAAAAGGTGGAAGAATGAGGGGTGAAATAGAAAGGAATCCCTAGACAAGGACCAGTGTGCCTACAGTGGGGAAATCTGGACATGAGAAGTATGCCCCCCTAAGCTACAGAGAAAAGATGGTAATAAAAAAGACAAGGGAGAGGAAAAGGGAAATATACGCCAAAGAAGGAGATGGTGGAGCAGGATTGTGACTCTGATGAAGACTGATGGGGCACAGGGACTCCGCCTGATTTAACAGAGCAACAGTAATTTCCCTACAGGAGCCCTGGGTACAAGCGACAGTGGGGAACAAAATGACTGGCTTATTGGTTGATACTGTAGCAATGTTTCCAGCCAAGGCTGGAGTCACTGGGAAGTTACAACAGAGACTCTTTCTTAAGCCCTAAGAATATAAATTGAGGGATATAAGATTGAGGTATAGCTTTCTGTATATGCCACATTGCCCTATTCCATTGTTGGGCCAAGATTTGTTATGTAAATTAAATGCCCAAGTCACTTTTGCTCCTGAGAAACAACATCTAAGAATCCAGGTATCACCCAAACATGTCCTATGCCTACAGGCACTGGTGATTCAGCCAGAGAAAAGAACTCAAGAACCATTCCTGCTGGAAGTCTACAACAGAGGGAGTTGCACTGTTTGGGAAGACAAGGGAACCTGAACTAGCAGTCAAAGCTCAGCCTGTGCACGTTGAATTTAAAAAAGCATTAATTCCACATAAAAACAACACTGCTTAAAAGGTAAAGAATTAGAAGTCATACAGGGGGATTACACAGGTTTCTAAAGCACAGACTTATTCAATCATGACAGTCTCAATACAATACCACTATCTTGCCAGTGAAGAAACCAAACTCCAATTAGTATCAATTTGTGCAAATTTGAGAGCTATTAATGACATCGTTCAAGATACCCACCCAATCGTGGCTAACCCATATACCCCACTTACAGCTACCCCAGGGGATTATGGCTGGTTCTCAGCATAGGAATTAAAGGATGCTTTTGTTCAGTGTCTACTAATTGAGGAGAAAGCCCAGTTGTTTTTGCACTTGAATGGCAAGATCTGGAGACTAGGGCAAACTTCCAAAACTGCTAGACTGTACTGCCCAAATATTTAAGTATTCCTTTACCATTTTTGAAAAAAATCTTACTAAAAGATTTGAGAAGCTTGCAATTAAACAGGGGAATACTATTACAATGCATGGGTAATTTACTCATTGCTAGCCCCACTTATGAAGACTGTTTATACCAGTTTTTGTTTGATTGTTTTGAAACAAGGTCTCACTCTGCCACCCATGCTAGAGTGCAGTGGTGTGATCATGGGTCACTGCAGCCTTGCCCTCCTAGGCTCAAGCGAGCTTCCCACCTTAGCCTCCCAAGTAGCTGGGACTGCATGTGTGTGCCACTGCACATGGCTAATTTTTAAAATTTATTTGTTGTAGAGATGGAGTCTCACAGTGTTGTCCAGGCTGGCCTTGAACTTTTGTGCTTAAGCGATCCTTCAACTGTGGCCTCCCAAAGTGTCTGGATTACAGGCGTGAGCCACCGCACCTGGCCAATACTAGTTTTAAACAGCCTGGTGGAATTGGATCATAAAGTATCTCTTTGCAAATATGCAAAGAGCAGGTAGTCTATTCAGGGGTTTGCCTGCAATAAGGTAAGCAGAGTCTGATGCCTGACAGGTAACAAGCAATAGCCACTATCAAGGCTCTCAAAAATCAGATAACTAAAAGGAGTCTTAGGTATAGTTGGCTTTTGTCACCTTTGATCCCTAATTTTGGTCTCCTAGTAAAGGACTTATCTGAGGCATTTAAAATGTCAGAGTCAGAACCTTTATATTAGACAGTGGAATGCCAACAGTCATTCAATAACATTAAAGAAAAACTAAGGAAATTCTTTATGGGCCCCCAAGATGTTTACCCTAAGATAGTTACGTTGAATTTCACCCTGACCATGTAAATTGATGGCTTATCTTCACAGGCATGGAACAAGAGACATAAGTCATCCCTCTTCTCACCTGAGACAAATGCATATCTGATTGCTCCCCCTGCCTGTTTATCTTATGTAAAAATGCAGGTTCATTGAACTAGATGAATGTTTAAGTGACTGTTCCCCTACCCTCTTACATGTGAAGGCTAATCAAAGACTCAAAAGAATGCAACTGCTTGCCTCTTATCTACCCATACCCTTTTAAAAATGTATCTTCCTCTTTCAATACCTGGCCTTTTCCCTTTAAATATTGGGATCCCAAGACCCTCTTTGGAAAAAGCATGAAACACAATGTTTCCTGTGGATCTACGTTCTTTCCTGGACATGTCCTCAACCTCAGCAAATAAACCTAAAATGATCAGGACTCACCTTGGTCATTTTTCTTTAGTTTACATTTCCTAAGCTACAGACCTGTGCAGCACATGACTATACTGAATACTGTGGGCAACTTCAACATGATGGTATCTGTGTCTCCAAATGTCTCAACAAAGAAAAGGTACAGTAAACATATGGTTTGAAAGATAAAAGTGGTATGCCTCTAAAGGGCACTAAAGGGCACTATAGCATTATAGTATTTATATGTCTTTGTCCAGGGTTCCTGGCTCATAACTTCTATGGCCCTCATTATAGTCTTGTTATAGTGCTGGGACACTTTAGGCTCAGAAAACAGACTCTCTCTGTCTCTGACTTTCTCCTGCCCTCCTTTCACCTGCCCAAGGCAGGACTCTGCACATCATAAGATCCTCATTCCAGAGAGGGTCCTGCCCATCCTTAGGAGGTGGGAATGCTGCACAGAGAGGCCAAGAATCTGGATAAGCCTTGGTGGGTTTTCCCATCTCAGACAACTAGTGTTAGATCATCCCTTCTGGTCCAGTTGTATTTGTACATGGTTGTCAATCATGTCTACCCAATGATGTCTCCATTGAAGGCTCAAGAGGACAGGGCTCAGGGAGCTTCTGGAAAGCTGAACACGTGGAGGCTGACAAAACTCTTCCCTATGCCAGGAGGGTGGCCACACCCCAACTCCACAGAAGCTCCTGGGTTAGGGACCCCTCCAGACTCACCCCATGTATCTCTTCATCTGGCTGTTTATTTGTATCATGTAAAATACCCTTTGTAATAAACCAGTAAACATAAGTGTTTCCCTGAGTTGTGTGAGCACTCTAGCAAATTAATCAAACACAAAGAAGAGGTCATAGGAACCCCAACTTGAAGCTGGTGGGTCAGATGTTCTACAGACCTGGACTTGCTATCTTGGGAAGGAGGGGACAGTCTTGGGAGAATGAGCCTACAACCTGTGGGATCTGATGCTATCTCCAGGTAGGCGGTGTCACAATTGAACTGGAGGACACCTAGCTGGTGTCCCCTCCAGAACTGCTTGTTTGCTTGGTGTGTGGGGAGAAATTCCCCTGTATGTCGTCATAGAAGTCTTCCATGTTGATGGTTGCTGTGGTGTGAGAGCAGAAGAAAAACACATTGGAGGTGGTTTTTCCACACACAGGCACTTACTATGAATGGAGCTTGCAGGACTGGAAGTTGCTCTGGGTGAGTCAGGGAGTGTGTGTTGCGTGCAGGTGAAAGCCTAGGACATTACTGCACACTGTTGTGGACTTTATAAACAGTGGACACTTAGGCTACACTAAATTTGTTAAAATATTGTTCTTTCTTCAGTAAATTAACCTTAGGTTTCTGTATCTCTTTCACTTTATAAACGTTTTAATTTTTTAAACTTTTTGACTCTTGTAATAACGCTTAATTTAAAACACAACTGTACAGCTTTTCTTTATAAGCTTTTTTCTATTTAAAAAAATTTCTTTTAAACTTTTCTGTTAAAAATTAAGACACAAACACACACATTAGCTCAGGCCTAAACAGGGTCAGGATCATCAATATCACTGTCTTCCACGTGTTGTCCCACTGGAAGGTCTTCAGGGGCAGTAACGCGTATGAAGCTGCCGCGTCTTATGGTAACAATGCTTCCTTCTGGGATATTTCCTGAAGGATCTTGGCTGAATCTGCTTTTCAGTCAGCTTCGTTTTTGGAAAGCAGAGGCCGGGCATGGTGGCTCACACCTGTAATCCCCGTACTTTGGGAGGACAAGGTAGAAGGATCACATATAGCCAGGAGTTCAAGACAAGTTTAGACAACAGAGCAAGAACCTGTCTCTACAAAAAGTAAAGATAAAAAAAATTAGTCGGGTGTGATAGTGTGCATCTGTTGTCCAGCTACTTGGGGGACTGAGGTGAGAGGATGGCATGAGCCCAGTTCAACACTTTAGTGAGCTATGATTATGCCGCTGCAGTCCAGCCTAGGCAACAGAGCGAGACTCTGTCTCAAAAACAGAACAAAACTAGAAAGAGTACACTCTAAAATAATAATAAAAGTATTGTAAACACATAAACCAGTAACAGTCATTTATGATCATTATCAAGTATTGTGTACTGTATGTAACTCTCCAAGCTATACTCTTATACACTGGCAACTCAGGTTTGCTTATACCAGGACCACCACAAACATGTGAGTCATGCGTTGTGCTACCATGTTATGATAGTTACTATGCCACTAGGTCACAGAAATTGCTCAGCTCTGTTATAATCTATGGAACCACCTTCCTATATGCAGTCTGTTGTTGGCTGAAATATCGTTATGCAGCCCGTGACTGTGCATTGGCATTTGTCCACTTGGTCTTCAGCCTAGCTTTGTACTTTGTCTTTGACATTTTGGCTTCCACTGCAATTTACTTCAGGCTTGGACTCCTTGAGGATCTCTCCAAACCTGCCATGGTCTGTTTCTTGCCACCAGTCCCTAGCTGCACATTCTTAGGGCAGCTGCCCCAGCTTAGTCTGATTTATGGGGCCCCTTATCTCGTAACTTTTAGAATCTTGACCAAGTCAGGCTACCCGGCAGGAGGAAATGTCAAAGGCAGAGGCAAAAGTGGCCCTCTCACTTTATCTGTATCTCCAGGGTCTTCCTTTGCATGGTCTCCTTTCCTTCCACCCTCAAGTCCATTCCTCTCCTGTTTCTCTCCGCCCCTCCAGGTTTCCTCCTTTAACCGCATCACCTAGAGTCATCTTCACCGTGCAAAGTGGTTTTGTTCAAACTAATGTATTAACACTCAACTCAGTGCAGTTGCCCTTTGAATGATCACACCCAGGAGACTTTTTTCTAATTAGTGTTCACCTTGACTGTACTATATTTCAGTGTTGATCATTTTGTCCTTTGGCTCAGATAGCTGTAAACTGCCTTCTATTTCACTGATTCATCATTCTCTCATCTTCCTTTCCCATCTTCAAATGTGGATATTTCCTAAAGGTCATTCTCTGTTCCTCATTTTTTTTCAAAAACTTTTAATAAAATATACATAATCAAATGTACCTTAACCCTGTTCAAATGTACACTTCATTCATGTTGAACATACTGGCATTGTTGTGCGACCAGTCTCCAGAACTTTTCCTCTTGCAAAACTGAAATTCTTACACCCGTAAAACAACTCCCTATTTGCCCTTCCCCCAGCCCCTGACAATCACTCTTCTACTTTCTGTCTCTATGAATCTGACTACTCTAACAACCTCATGTAAGTAGAATAATACAGTATTTGTCTTTTGACTGGCTTTTTCACTGAGTATAATGTGATGGTTAATTTTATGTGTCAACTTGGCTGAGCCACCGTACCCATACATTTGGCCAACATTATTCTGGGTGTTTCTGTGAAGGTGTTTTTTGGATGAGATTAACATTTAAATCAATGGACTCTAAGTAAAGCAGATTACCCTCCGTAATGTGGGTGGACCTCATCCAATTAGGTGAAGACCTTACTAGAACAAAGACTGACTTCCCCTGAACAAGGAGTTGTGCCAGCAGACTGCCTTTGGCCTTGAACCATAACTCTTCCCTAGGTCTCCAGCCTGCCAGCCAATACAATCAGATTTTCACTCACCAGTCCTCCACAACTGCATGAGCTAATTCTTTAAGCCTCTTTTTCGCTCTGTGTAGACACACACACACACACACACACACACACACACACCCTGCTGGTTGTTTCTCTGGAGAACCCTAATACAAATAATAGCCTCAGGGCTCATCCATGTCGTAGCATGTGTCAGAACTTCCTTCCAAGACTGAATCATATTCCATTGTATGTATATACCACACTTTATGCACTTATCTGTCAATAGACACTTGGGTTGCTTCTACCTTTTGGCTGTTGCAAATAATGTTGTTATAAACACAGGTGTGCAAAAATGTCAAGACACTGCTTTTACTTCTGTTGTTTACAAACCCAGATGTGAAATTGTTGGATCATATGGTAATTCTATTTTTAATTTTTTTCCATAGTGACTACCCCATTTTACATTCCCACCAGCCATGTACAAAAGTTCTAATTTCTCTATATCCTTGCCATCATTTATTTTTTGTTTTGCTCCTTTTGGGTTGAGGTTTTTTCTTTCTTCTTTTTTTTTGAGACAGGGTCTTGCTCTGTCACCCAGGCTGGAGTGCAGTGGTGCAATTATAGCTCACTACAGCCTTGAACTCCCGGGCTCACACAATCCTCCTACCTCAGCCTTTTGGGTAGCTGGGACTACAGGTGTGTGCCACGATTCCCCCCTAATATTTTTTTAAATTTTTTGCAGAGATCTGGTCTCACTATGTTACACAGGATGGTCTTGAACACCTGCCCTCAAGTTATCCTCTCGCTTCAGCTTCCCAAAGTGCTGGAATTGCAAGCATAAGCCACTGTGCCTGGCTGTGTGTGTGTGTGTGTGTGTGTGTGTAATAGTAGCCATCCCCATGGATTGCAGTGGTACCTCATCGTGGCTTTGAGTTGCATTTTCCCAGTGACTGGGATGTCGAGCATCTTTTCATGTGCCTGTGGGCCATTTGCACATCTTTTACGGAGAAATATCTATTTAAGTATTTTGCCAATTTTTTTAATCAGATTGTTTTCATGTTGCTGAGATATAGAAGTTCTTTATATATTCTGGTTATTAACCCCTTATCAGATAGATGATTTACAAATACTTGCTCCCATTCTGTAGGTTGCCTTTTCACTCTGTTGATCCTGCCCTTCAATGCACAGAAGTTGTAACTTTTGTTGTTGTCCAATTCATCTATTTTTATGTTATTTTACAAATCCCTCAACTCATCACCAATTTTTTTTGTTGCCTGTGCTTTTTGGTGTCATAGCCAAGGAATCATTGCCAAATGCAATGTCATAAAGCTTTTCCCCTCTGTTTTCTTCTACCAGTTTTATAGTTTTATAGCTTTTAACTTTAATTTTTAATTTTAACTTCATTTTAACTTTAGAAAATCCATCTTAAGTTAATTTGGATATATTGTATAAGACAAGGATCCTACTTCATTCTTTTATATGTGGATACCTCCTTCCTTTTGGAAACTTTTCCTTTCAGTAATCTTACTACCTCCACAGCTTTAGTTTAGATGTTTTTTGTTGTTGTTGTTGTTTCCCAGGGGTGATCAAATCCATATATCCAGCTTTTACCACCTTCCTGAGTTCTAGTCCCCCCATTTTCAAACACCACTGAAAATTTAGTTTGACTAAGTACATCAACCTATTATGTGAAGAAACACCATGTCCCACCCCCACTACGGTGTGGCTTAATGAGCTAAAGTAATATATCAAGATAGACATAATAATCCAAGAAACTGGGGTTCAGAGAAGTAAATATTATTAGGGTGCATCTTGCGCTGTTCCAGAGTGAGGCATATAGGGTTTTGGGGACAGAACAATCTAGTCTCTGATAATGTTTTCTCTTATAGCACAGGCACATTTCATGAGCCTTTCCCACTACCTAGGTGTTCCAGTTTGGATGTGGTTTGTTTGGCCTAAGTCTCATGTTGAAATCTGATTTCCAGTGTTGGAGGTGGCGTCTGGTGGGCAATGTTTGGACCATGGGGGTACATCCCTCATGAAAGGCTTGCTGCCCTTATGGCAGAAGTGACTCAGTTCTCACTCTTAGTTCCCAAGAGAATTGCTTGTTGAAAACAAACTTGTACCTCCTACATGCTCTCCTTCTAGAAGAGGATCTAAGGAAATTTATAATAAAAGCAGAGGAACGCTGAAACCAAACCCAATTCATATCAGTAATAGCTACCATTTGTTAAGCTTCCACAATGACAAGTAAGATGTTAAGCCCTTTATGTTACCAGGATTATCTCATTTATCTCATAAGAATTCTAGAACATAGGTCCTATTATTATCTTTATTTTATTCGTGAGAAAAGCAGAGACTCAGAAGGCTTAAGTCATAGGCCAAGGTCATCCAGCCAGTTGAATGGTGGAGTGGGGAATATCTGGATCCAGGCAGTCAGACTGTTTTTTTTTGTTTTTTTTTTTTTGAGACGGAGTCTCGCTCTGTCACCCAGGCTGGAGTGCAGTGCCGTGATCTCGGCTCACTGCAAGCTCCGCCTCCCAGGTTCACGCCATTCTCCTGCCTCAGCCTCCCAAGTAGCTGGGACTACAGGCGCCCACCACCACGCCCGGCTAATTTTTTTTTTTTTTGTATTTTTAGTAGAGACGGGGTTTCACCATGTTAGCCAGGATGGTCTCGATCTCCAGACCTCGTGATCTGCCCACCAGGCAGTCAGACTTTATTAGAACATGCACTTAAAATTAGCAAGAAGGAATGAGAACAACAACAACAAAATTAAAAAATGCTTGCCAAAGAAAACTAAAACAATGTGCAATATTTAGCCCTGAGATCACTAGCAGTGAAGGCAAAGAAGAATGCATAATGGGTTTCTACAGCTCTCACTGTCCGGTTATAGAAAATATTTCTACATTAGTACAAGCACTTTTCTTCCTAAGCCCTGAGTTTTGAGAGTTTATCAAGAAGGCCTCTGAGTTCATTCAATTAATGGCATCATCTAAGGCTGTTTAATAACAAATGCAGAGGTAGTCCACATAAGGAACTTTTGCCTTTACCTTTGAGACAAAGCCCAGGGCCTCACGTTAGGAGTACAGCTCTCTAAATATAAGCCTCCAGGGCAGAAGCGAGGGGAGGATGGAGGGACACAATGCAGATTTACAGCCTGGTGGGTACGGCCTTTGTCCTCTCCATGTCTATTGTCACTCTTGAGGTCCAAGCCTCTACTGCACTGCCTGGTTTACTGCACAACCCAACTTGGCTGCTTGCTTCTGGTCTCTCCCCACCAAACCATCCTTCACACTGCTTCCAGCTTAATATTTCCAAGACACTGCATTTGCAAATCCACTCCTCTGTTTAAAAATGTTTCAGTGACTTGCAACTTGTCTACAGTGTGAAGTATAAATTTATTAGCTTGTTGTTTAAAGCCTTCTACAACCAGACCCCGACCGACCTTCACGTCCTATTGAGAGGTGACAGCCTGCTGGCAGCCCTCGCAGCCCTGGCTCGCTCTTGGCGCCTCCTCGGCCTTGGCACCCACTCTGGCCGCGCTTGAGGAGCCCCTCAGCCCGCAGCTGCACTGTAGGAGCCCCTTTCTGGGCTGGCCAAGGCCGGAGCCAGCTCCCTCAGCTTGCAGGGAGGTGTGGAGGGAGAGGCGCAGGCGGGAACCGGGGCTGCGCTCGGCGCTTGCGGGCCAGCGCGAGTTCCCGGTGGGCGTGGGCTCGGCGGGCCCCGCAATCGGAGCAGCCGGCCCGCCAGCCCCGGGCAGTGAGGGGTTTAGTACCTGGGCCAGCAGCTGCCGTGCTCCATTTCTCGCCGGGCCTTAGCTGCCTCCCCGCGGGGCAGGGCTCGGGACCTGCAGCCCACCATGACTGAGCAGCCCGCCATGACTGAGCCGCCTGCCGGCGCCCCAGCCATGGGCTCCTACGCGGCCGGAGCCTCCCCGACGAGCGCCGCCCCCTAATCCGCGGTGCCCAGTCCCATCAACCCCCAAAGGGCTGAGGAGTGCCGGTGCACAGCGCGGGATTGGCAGGCAGCTCCACCTGCTGCCCGCTGCCGCATCCACTTGGTGAAGCCAGCTGAGTTCCTAAGTCTAGTGGGGACTTGGAGAACCTTTATGTCTAGCTAAGGGATTGTAAATACACCAATGGGCACTCTGTATCTAGCTCAAGGTTTGCAAACACACCAATCAGCACCCTGTGTCTAGCTCAGGGTTTGTGAATGAACCAATCGGCACTGTGTATCTAGTTAATCTGGTGGGGACTTGGAGAACCTTTGTCTAGCTAAGGGATTGTGAATGCACCAATCGGCACTCTGTATCTAGCTCAAAGTTTGTAAATGCACCAATCAGCACTCTGTGTCTAGCTCACGGTTTGTAAATACACCAATCGACACTGTGTATCTCGCTAATCTAGTGGTGACCTGGAGAACTTTTGTGTCTAGCTCAGGGATTATAAACGCACCAATCAGCACCCTGTCAAAACGGCTCAATCAGCTCTCTGTAAAACAGACCAATCAGCTCTCTCTAAAATGGACCAATCAGCAGGATGTGGGTGGGGCCAGAGAAGAGAATAAACACAGGCTGCCCTAAGACAGCAGCAGTAACTCACTAGGATTTTCTTACCACAGTATGGAAGCTTTGTTCTTTTTGTTTTTTAGGTCTGCACTGCCTTTATGAGCTGTAACACTCACTGCAAATGTCTGCAGCTTCACTCCTGAAGCTAGTGAGATACACGAACCCACCGGGGTGAACTAGCAACTCCAGTACATGCCGTCTTAAAAGCTGTAACACTCAGGCGAAGGTCTGCAGCTTCACTCCTGAGCCAGCAAGACCACAAACCCACCAGAAGGAAAAAACTCCAAACCCATCGGAACATCTGAGGGAACAAACTCCAGACACACCGCCTTTAAAAACTAACACCGCGAGGGTCTGCAGCTTCAGTCTTGCGTTAGTGAGACCAAGAACCCATCAATTCTGGACACACTATCAACTTTGTTTCTCCAAGGGTGCTTCTTAAACTGGATGATGCACACCCTAGGAGTGTGTGTGTAGGATGGGGTTTGAAGCAGTAGGGTAAAAAACCTAGCATACATTCTATTCCAGAGGTGTCAATTTACCAGACAACAGTTATTTTAAAACTTTTTTATGCAAAAACATGTTATAGGGTGGAATGCAACATTTTTATGGGCCTGTGGGCCATTTGTATACATCTTTGGAGAAATGGCTATTTAAGTACTCTGCCCATTAATTCTAAACTTAAAACTAAGACTTCAAAGTCCCTCTAAGGATTTTGCTGGGCCACATCCCAAGACCCTGAAGGGTATTACTTACTCGCCCTCTCCAAACTGCCGAAGTCGGAAGCAGGTGACAAAAAAGCTGACCCTGGAATCACCTTTTGTAAATTTCCCACCTCCAAGCTTTTCGATAGTTTGTAACACTGGCTCCTCTCCCCAAAAGCCTTTCCTTCAAGTCCCAGCAACTCTCCCTGACCCTGCTGGGAAGGCGCACCAATTACCTGTCATTCCAGGAAAGCTCATAGCATAAGATGATCCCATTGGTCATCTCCCAGAACCAGACTTTCTGAAAAGTCCTCAAGGACCAGCTAGTCCAATCCCTCACTGAATAAAGGAGAAGCAAAGTCTAGGGAGGTGAGGTGATTCGTTGTCCTCCTAATTAGCAGGTGAGCTCCTGGCAGGGCTGGGGTTTCATCTTCTGGGCTCTCTGCAAGGTCGTGCCCGGCACGGGCCAGGAACAATTTCATAAACTCGTCATCTAGACGGCCTTTGACTGACACCATCTCTCCGTGTGGAGGAGCCGCTGGGGTGCACGGGGCAGGTGTCGTCCGTTTCAAAGGTAAAATAACCCAGCTGCAGACCTCCAGAGGCCGACTAGAGCCGGGGTCAGAAAACAGGTTTTCCCTCTCGGGGACAGCGCCCAGGGGACCGGCATTAGAACATCGGCTGATGTTTCATCTGGTCAGGGAACCATCCAGCGCTTAGTACACCTGGCGCTAATCGGCGGGGATTAATCTCACACCCCGCAGCTGGCGGAAAGCAGCGGGAGGAGGCACCTAGCCCTGGGGTTGAGATCCCAGTTCCCGCGTGCGCAAACCACGCCCCTGTAGATTCTCGCTGCTGCGTGTTCGCGCGCGTCCCGGAGTGCGCATGCGCAGCGGCGGGGGTTGTTCCGGCTGCCTTTCACTGAGGGGACCCGCCAGTTTCTAACTCAGTGGCGTTTGCCCTGATTCCCGGGGCCTGGCTTTCAGCGTAGCAATTCTGCCGGCGAAGAAGGTGAGCGCAGTGCTGTGTGGCAGCAGAGCTCCTTAGGACGAGGAGCAGCGGGACGAGGAAGGGCAGACTGGTGAAATCGCAAACTGGGCGTCTGTTCCGGCGCCGGACCCCTATTTGCAAAGGTGGGTGGCCCGTCCGGAGCGGGAAAACATTCCGGAAGTGGAGGGCCGGGCCAGCGTGATTGACAAGCGGGAACCCCTGTGTGGGGACGGGTAGGCCTAGGAAGGTTGTGCCTGCGGTGGAACTGGGCGGTGCGCAGAAGTGGGCATTAACAGCAGCCGCGTGTCTGGGTCTTAGATTTGGCCCAGCTGTGTTGAGCTTTTCATGGATTATCTTACGTAGATAAGACACTGCAACAGTGAGTGAGCGCTTGTAACCCACCTGTCTCTTACGGAAACTGAGCCCCAGCGATGCTAACTTTAGCAAGGATACAGCTGGGATCCTAAACTTGGCAATCAGAGCCCAGAGCCGATAAAGTTAGCTGCATGAGTCTAGCTTCCCCCAGGGCGGGAATCGAGGCGGAGCAGGGTACAGTACGGAGGCCAGGAATGAGTGCACTTGACCAGATTGTTGACGGAAGTGTCATAAAAATGGACTTAAATGCTGATAAGCAGCTGTTTGGGTTCCACACAGGGTGCGAGCTCAGGATGCACGTTGGAGGGGACACAGGGCCAGAGCAAGGTGGGAATGCGGGTATTATGGGCCAGGCCATCCTCCAGCTGGTGGAGCACCGCAGTACTGCAGTGTGTGGCCCTGGCTTAACAGCAGTGCGGAAAAGCTTTTTTCTTGGGGCTGTGGTGCTTTCCAGGTGTGTGAAGTTAAAACATTTTAGGGCCATACGGTAGATAGTACCTGCCACATAGTTGTCTTGGTCAGCCCCGGCTGCCATGACAAAATACCATAAACTGGGTGGCTTAGACACAGAAATGTGTTTTCTCACAGTCCCAGAGGCTTGGGATGTCCAAGATCAATGTGGGGAGGACACAACTGAGCCCACAACAATAGTCTGTACTCAGTAATGAGTGATAATTGGGGACTGAAGAAAATGAACACGTTAAGAACTAATATGTTCCTGAAGTGCTTTCACAACTCTAACCTCGTTTTATGAGCGTGAGCTTTGCTGTCCTGGTGTGTGCCTTGGCACTGGGAGGTGATGGTTGTCCTCCACACAGCCAACCTGAAGAGGGCTGAACAAGTCACTGCAAATGTTTTTAATAGGGCTTAGTGAATCCGTTATACTCAGATTTATCTAAACCTCTATGATTTAGCCTGTGCTGCTTCTGGAATAATGAGATCCATAATTACCACTGATGGGGAAGTGAAATAATACTTACGTTTCTTCTGTATTGTTTAGTGTTGTCATTCTAGAGTTTGGTAACCAAGTCTGTCTTTTTTATCCCACTTATCCTGGTGGGAGGAAAAGTGAGGAGATAGAAAGTTTCAGGTGGCTTGGGGGTCTGGCAGATGTGGTTCAAATCCTGAGTTCAAGCACTTGCTGAGTGACCTTGGGCAAGTCATATAAGTTTACTGAGTCTCAGTTTCTTTCTCTATAAAATAGAGCTTATAAAAATACCACACAGGGTTTTTGTGGGGTTATCTGAAAACGGTTTGAAACCATTAAAGAACTGGCCATTTAACTAATAGGTATTCAAGTCATGGGACCTCCGTTACCCAGCCTCGGAAGAGAAACCTTCACTTACAGCCCCGATGTCTGGCTGGCTACTCATTCGTTCATCAGATTTTTGTTGAATGCCTATGAGGTGTCGAAGCACCTAGTTCTGAGTCCTGGAGCCAGAGAAGAGCAAGACAGACAAGGTTCCTCTATTTATGGAACGTATATTCCAGTGAGGAAGAATAAATAGGTTCAGATGGTGCTAAGAGCTATGAATAAATTAAATACAGAGTAATGTGATTTTTTAAAAGTGACTTAGAGCAAGCTAGGGGGTGAGGAGTGGGGGTGGTGTTTGACCACTGTCCAGCGGCCAGACAGCCGGAGAGGCTTCTCTGAGGAGGTGAGCCAAAGCCTGGATATTGAGGAGGACTCCTTCTCCAGGCCAAGGGGAGCAGCAAGTGCAAGGCCCGAGCTGAGTAGATGAGGCTGGGAGCCTGACCAGTCTCAGGCTGACCAGTGCTCTGTCTTGAGAGGAGCTGCTGGTCAGCTTTTTGTCTTGGGATTCAGAACGAGGAGACATGAAGACTTTTTACTTGGCAGTGGGAGCTGAAGCTGAAAGGTCCAGGGGCTGATGAGGCCACGTGTAAGCGAAAGTTTGGGATAAGCAGAAACCGAGTGCGCTGAGGGAGTGAGATTGTGGCTGTATCCGGCACCTGGCTGAGCAGGAGAGTGAACCCCGTGGGTGTGTGTTTGCTGGTGACGTTCCTGGAGCTGTCTTGAAGTCCGAGCTGCCTTGCAGCTTGTAGTCTGCCTCTGTTTTTGGCTTTCCCAGATAGTTTCAATTCTTACTCTCAGTTTGTGAACCTCCCTTCAGTGAACCTCCCTTCACTTATGCTGGATATCTCTTGCAACCGGATGAGCTTCACTAAAGCAGAGTCATTTGGACCTGGATTCGAATCCCTGGTTTTCCACTTTTTAGCTGTGACTTTGAGCAATTATTTAATTTCTGTAAGCATCAGTATCCAGTAGCTGTATCCTTATAGTGTTGTACAGATTAAATGAGATAATAAAAGCAAAAGACCACTGTAGAGTGTTTAACACATAGGAGGTACTCAAAAATTTGTTAGGTACCTTTCTTCCCCTTTCCTTCATGTGTTAAAGCTTTTTCAGTACATACCCCTCTCTCAGGATTGAATTGTAAATCATGTTTTTTGATTACCCTTCTTGTAATAATTCCTCTACCTCTGTAGTCATGTTTTTCTTTTTTCATTTTTTCTTGTCCCCAGAATGTCTAACAAAACAGCCAAATATACCTCTGTGAAGACAGAGGGTAAAATAATGCTAGTTCTGTGAGTTCTCTCTTCTTGTGCAAATCCATAAACTGCCACCAATCTGTAGTCATTTTAATTGCCCCTAAACCGAAGAGCATCGTGGCAACTACCTTTCCCCTCGTAAATAGAGTGACACTATCACTAGTCTTATTGAGGCCAAAGTTATAAAGATGGGCTCTCGATCTACTAATATTAGTAAAATGGGTTTGGGACTTACTAACATTTGTGCTTAGAAGAGACAGACCTGGCAAAGAGCTTGGAGAAGTGAGTTCCAAAGAGAGAGGTGTGGGAACCAGGATGGAAGAGTCAGGCCTCCAGATAGCGTTTACTTCTCCTTTCTTCCTTGAATCACTGTCTCAGAGATAATTAGGTTCAGGAGAGGAGAAAAAAAAAGATGACGTCAACGTGGAGCAGAGTTTTTCTTAGACCTTAGCCTAGCAAGGAAAGAGAAATGCCTGGTCTCAGTACTGGGAAGCTGTTCCAGCCAGAGCCCCGTGGCTGTGAAGAGAGCTCTCCTGTCTGGAACCAAACAGAAAGCTCATAGGTCTAGAGGCCAGAAAAGTTAGTAGGTGGTGGCTCTGTTCGGTGCTGGAAATGGAGGCCAGGATGAACTAAGAAGCAAACTAAAGATACTTGTAAGATAAGGACGTGTAGGCCGGGTGCGGTGGCTCACGCCTGTAATCCCAGCACTTCGGGAGGCCAAGGCGGGCGGATCACGAGGTCAGGAGATCGAGACCATCCTGGCTAACACGGTGAAACCCCGTCTCTACCAAAAAAAAAAATTAGCTGGGCGTGGTGGCGGGCACCTGTAGTCCCAGCTACTCGGGAGGCTGAGGCAGGAGAATGGTGTGAACCCGGGAGGCGGAGCGTGCAGTGAGCCGAGATTGCGCCACTGCACTCCAGCCTGGGCGACAGAGTGAGACTCTGTCTCGAAAAAAAAAAAAAAAAAGATAGGGACGTGTATGTTAACTTGCGCTATCCAAACAACAAGCTGTGCTTATGGTCCTCTGCCTGTGCGTCATGATTTTCCAGGACTTCACAACGGGATAAAGTGAAGTAGCTTCGGCTTGTGAATGTGCATTGCAGAGACGTGGGAGAAGAAAGCTGCAAAAGTCATTATAAGCAACACCCTTGATCTTAGGGGTGCTGGTCTGTGAGAAGAGAGCTCTAAGCCTTTTGTAGAGGCATTAGAAAGGTATCGGAGCCACGGTGAAATGCAGGGGAGATTGGGTTTAGGGGCTTTCCTGGTCTGCATTCTGCTACAGCCGTTAAATGCCGCTAGATGGAGTGCGTGATTCTGGTATGGCCTCACGTGGACCTGCTGCGAAGGATGGAGAGAACATGGTCTCTGCTTCCCAGAAAAAAGGAGAAATTTGGTAATAAGTGTGGAGACTGCTCTTAAATAATGCTCCAGATTTCAAGCCACTTCTTCCTGGACCATGAGAGAGCTCCCTAATGTTGTATTTATTTTTCCTAGGTCCATGGCTAATGAAACACAGAAGGTTGGTGCCATCCATTTTCCTTTTCCCTTCACACCCTATTCCATCCAGGAAGACTTCATGGCAGAGCTGTACCGGGTTTTGGAGGCTGGCAAGATTGGGATATTTGAGAGTCCAACTGGCACTGTGAGTATGAACAGTGAGAGATACTGAAAAGGACAACTTAACAGCAGCCGTACTAGCTTTTCCTGTTTGCCTATCCAGAGATTTTCATAGTTTGAAGTTGGGCAGAGTAGTCTCTGTTTATCTGAGTAATAGTCACTTCCTCTATTAAAGTCTTTTTTTTTTTTTTTTGAGACGGAGTCTCGCTGTGTCGCCCAGGCCAGAGTGCAGTGGGACGATCTCGGCTCACTGCAAGCTCCGCCTCCCGGGTTCACGCCATTCTCCTGCCTCAGCCTCTTGAGTTGCTGGGACTACAGGTGCCCGCCGCCACGCCCGGCTAATTTTTTGTAGTTTTAATAGAGACAGGGTTTCACCGTGTTAGCCAGGATGATCTCAGTCTTCTGACCTCGTGATCCGCCCGCTTCGGCCTCCCAAAGTGCTAGGATTACAGGCATGAGTCACCGTGCCCGGCCTAAAGTCTTAAACATAGCTCTGTGGTCTGAGAAAAATTAGGCTGAAGTCATTGGTGCCTACCTATTACGGTAGATGAGACGGCTTTCTTACCAACTCTTTTCCCTCCCGTTCCCCATCCTTCAAATATAATTCTAAGTTTTAGTCTCTGCTGAGTGAACCAGTGTGTTATGATTATGTTTTGAACATAATTTTGTCTTGAACAATATGTCTTAATATTCTGTTTTTTCTAGTTAATAATTGCCCTTTTAAAGTTAGTTTAGTTTTTAATATACCTATGCCAGTTCCTCCCACATCATCCAGTGGCCTCTCAATATGATTTTCCATACAGATAACTCCTGTCTTAGTCGGCCAGGACTGCCATAGTAAAATACCATAGACTGGGTGACTTAACAGGAATTTATTTTCTCACCATTCTGGAGGCTGGAAAGTTGAAGATCCAGATTCTGGCAGGGTTCTGGTTCTGGGGAGGGGGTCTCTTCCTGGCTTGCAGATGGCTGCGTTCTTACTGTGGAGCAAGAAAAGACGAGGAGGAGAAAAACAAATCTTTGGTGTCTCTTTCTCTTTTATGAGGACAAGGGCTGCTCCCTTATGGCTGCTCCGTTATGACCTCCTTTACCCTTGAAGGCCAGATCTGTAGTAGAGTCACATGGCGGGGTTAGGATTTCAACATATGTTTGTTTGTTAAGATGGGCAGTCTCACTATGTGGCCCAGGCTGGTCTCGAACTCAAGCGATCCTCCCCTCTCAGCCTCCCAAGTACCTGGTGGCTGGCAAGATCCAAGATTACTGGTGCACACCACCATACACAGCTTCTTTTGTTTTGTTTTTGTTCTTTAAAAACATTTTTTTAACATGCATTTTGGTGGGGATACAATTCAGTCCACAGCAGTGACCAATTCCATTTTTACCTTGGAGCCCTCCTGGAATCCTCCATCCTTTCCCTGTCATTTGAATTAGTTGCTCCTCAGACTGACTTGACAGATTTCAGCATGAGTGTTAATGGGGACAGACGGCCGCACCCACACCACATCAGGGTATACGTCCGTTTGGAGGCTTTCCTCAAACGTCTGGCAGCCCTGGACTGCCTGTGTATGCTGAAGAACAGGGCACAGAAAGGCTGAGTCTGCAGGGCACTGGCTGTGGCTGCCAGGCTGGGCTCCTTTGTTGGGGGCCTCCAGTTGCCAGCACATCTGTGGGATTTTCCCTAGAGTCTTCAGTCTCTCCAGAGCAGGTGCCTCTGAGCCCTGGCCCAGCAGGTACAGACGCTGAAGCCCAATAGCCGGTCTTCCGGGAGGTGGTCTGGGGAAGGGGATCCAGGTGGAGAGTCCCCCTCAGTGCCTGCTTTCAGCCTGGCCCTCCTCCCCCTCCCTCTTGCCTCCTCAATCTGCCGGTTGCCTCCAGGGCTCTCCTAGCTCAGCTTCCACTTAGAGCCCACTTCCTGTCTTCTGCAAGGAGCAGGAGCAGGGATTGCAACCTGAGAATCTAATTGTTCTTAAAAAGAATTTCAACCCGTCCCTTTGTTTTCAGTGGCCTGCTGTGTTCCTACCACTTCCTGAGTCTTTCTGAGAATGAGTGGGGGAGATCTCTGGGGACACTTGGGCTTGAGTGTCTCTGCCGAAATCACTTCCATGTCTCTGCCTTCTTTCCCTCTCTCCTAAAACATATTACTCCTTCCACTTTCTTTTTGTGGGTGTAAGCCTCCATATTACTTTGGTTAATTTTAGTGTGCTTTGGAACACAGATGAGTGCATGTTCATTCTGCCTTGTTTAATTTTAGAGACAGGGTGTTGCTCTGTTGCCCAGGGCCGAGTGCAGTGTTAAGATCATGGTTTACTGCAGCCTCAACCTTCTGGCAACAAGTGATCTTCCCACGTCAGCCTCCTGAGCAGCTGGGACTACAGGTGTGCACCATCACACCTAGCTAATTTTTTAATTTGTAGAAATGAGATCTCACTATGCTGCTCAGGCCGGTGGTCTTAAACCCCTAGGCTCAAGCAATCCTCCCTCCTTGGCCTCCCATAGTGCTGAGATTACAGGCATGAGCCACTGTACCTGACCCCTTTCACCTTGTTTAGCCTGACAACCCATCTTCTCCCTCTCAGGTCTTTCCATCTCAGTCTTCTGCACTCCAGGCTTCTGCGTCTTCTTCCTCTGCTCAGCCTTTAATTGTCGATGTTTCTGGTTCTATAGCTTCATCTTCTTGTGTGCAGTCTCTGTGAATGTACCCTGTGGCTTTATTACCTTTGACATTCTTCTGTCTTCTAAATCATCTCCTGAATAGAGTGTTTTCTCCTGTCCTGGGTGTCCCGCAGCCCATAGAAGCAGCCATGCTGTGGGACACCCTGAGTGGGGTTTGTGTTACCTGTTGTGCCTACCATGCCCTTCCCCGCCGTGGATGCACAGGTGCCCCACCTTAGCTGCCCCAGATGCTGTTTATCCTTGATAGTCACCTTTTAAGCCTTATACAGGTCTATCAAGTTGAGTCACCATTACCACTTGGTGTGTGCTGTGCCTTGTGTAATACTGCAGTTCCGGGAGTCATCCAACCTGGAATGCATGCTTTGCGGGGATCTATGATGCCCTCGAATTGTATGTTACATGTGAACCTGTGAGCATTTTCTAGGGGCTCTGCACCTTTGTGTCCTCAGCTCTGAGCCCCATGCTTGCTGCAACCAGCAGGTGTTCAGAGTGAATGAATTTGCTTATCTTGGCATAAATCATGTAACTGTTGATGATACCCCAGGAAGGTGAGCCTTTGGTTATAAATCCTTTTAACATTTTCCAGTCTAAAAGTTTTGTGGTCTTATTACACGATGTAGAAAACAGTGGGCCTCAGTTATTCTTTTGCTGTTGTGCCGGAGTATACCACGGTTGTTTTTGAAAGATAACTTTGACCATACCCTTAGGAACTTCCTCAGCTCACTTTCAAATGGAGGGCACTGGCTTTCTAACCATTGTGTCTCCCAGCCCAGTGACAGCTGAAGCTGACTGCTTCCGATATCACAGACAGCACAGAAGAGCCGCCCTCCAGGTGCTGCTGGGAAATGCTGCCTGGAACTCTTTGCCATTTACTTTCTATCAAAAGCTGAGGGAAATGGTACATATGGGGCTTTCCTAAAAATATGGGATCCATCCATTTGTCAACAATGTCATTCTATCCTATCCCAGGGCCTTTCAAGATTTTGATGAAAACTAATAGATCCCATATTCCAGAATAATGCTATTAATAATTTTATTATTATTACTTAATGATAGCAAAAAGTTAGCTAACTCCAACCGCTCACTTGTTATTTGCCAGGTAATCCTCTAATCCAGAGGATTTGGCCTTTTGTGTGTGTTAATGTCCTGCTTGCACCAGCTCTATGAGGAAGGTGCCGCTGTTGTCATTTCCATTTCTGCACTCGTGGAAACAAGCGTAGTGAGGCCAGCCTGAGCCACAGAGCTGCAGGTGGGGGAGACAGCTGGAACCCTGGCACCTGGCTGTGGAGTTTGAGACTCTGACTCCTGCGCCGCGCTGCTGCCCCAACCGTAGTCATACGAGGTGTTTCACCCCGCCCTGGATACTCTGAGATCCCCTCTGGGTTCAGCAGGCTCAGAGAGCTGACTGCCTGGAGCAGAAGGCATGGGGTCCTCCAGAGACTCCCCTGAGCTGAGTTCCCCTGTGGACACCAGGGCCGCCTCCTTGTGGCGCTCCCTGAAGGGTCCTCTCTGGAAGAACTGTATTGGTTCCCTGGGGCTGCTAGAGGAAAGCTTCACAAACTGGGGCTTAAACAACAGAAACTGACATCCCACAGCGCTGGAGGCTGGAGTCCGAGATCAAGGTGTCAGCATGCTTGGTCCCTTCTGAGGGTCGTGAGGGAAAGATCTCTTCAGGCCCCTTTCCTTGGCTTATAGGTGGCGTGTTCTCCTTGGGTATCATCACATCGCCTGCCTTCTGTGCATGTCTGCATCCACGTGTCCCCTTTCCAATAAGGATATTAGCCCTTTAGGCTGGGTCCCGTCCTAGTAGTCTCATCTTAACTAATTACATTTGCGACAGTCCTATTTCCAGATCAGGCCACATTCTGAGATGCTGGGGGTTAGGATTTCAACACAGGAATTTGGAGGAATACAACTCAATCAGGCTTATGGAAAATTCTGGTCTTAAGTCAAGGGTAGTGTTCTCCAGTCTGTATATGGAGGCGCACACCTATGGTCCCAGCCACTTGGGAGGCTGAGGCCAGAGAACTGTGTGAGCCCAGGAGTTCCATACCAGCCTGGGCAACATAGCAAGACCTCCTCTCAAAAACAGACAGAGTGGTGTCTTCCAGAGTGATTAGTTTGCTTAAAAAAAAAAAAACAAAACAAAACACAAACCGTAAGCACTGGCGCTCATGACTGATCATCCTGTATCCACGCACGAGCTGCACGAAGGCCGCGCGGTCACTCTGGCTCCCTGTTGGCGAGTACCTGGGATTTCTTGCTCAGCATTTTGGGGCCTTAATTCTTTTAGGGGACTTTTTGTCTAATGTCTCCCCTTCTTCTAATTATGTGCGA
Source organism: Homo sapiens (assembly GCF_000001405.40). Classification (NCBI taxonomy): domain Eukaryota; kingdom Metazoa; phylum Chordata; class Mammalia; order Primates; family Hominidae; genus Homo; species Homo sapiens. The sequence goes on from NC_000012.12 coordinate 31,083,523, forward strand.
TATTTACATAGAATCTGATAAACTGCTTCAAATTTGTTTTCAGAACAGTGAGCTGGATAATTAAAGAAGCTTTTTCCTGCTTCTTGGGCCCAGTTTCCATTTCTTTCTTTTTTCTGTTTTTCCTGGCTATTCTAGTGCTAATTTCCTTCCTTTCCTTTCCTAGGCTGGTCTTAGAGCATCCTCTCCTATGTACAGCCAGACCTTCTTTCAAGCTTTTATTAAAATGGGGAAAGGTCATTTGGGAGGCTTTGTTGTTTTCCTGTTTCTAAAGATCATTTTTCTTCCTGCAGGGGAAGTCCTTAAGTCTTATTTGTGGGGCCCTCTCTTGGCTCCGTGACTTTGAACAGAAGAAGCGTGAAGAAGAGGCACGACTCCTTGAAACTGGAACTGGCCCCTTACATGATGAGAAAGATGAATCCCTGTGTCTGTCTTCTTCCTGCGAAGGGGCTGCAGGCACCCCGAGGCCTGCTGGAGAACCGGCCTGGGTTACTCAGTTTGTGCAGAAGAAAGAAGAGAGGGACCTGGTGGACCGACTAAAGGTGAGACCTGGGGTATCCGGAAGTGGGAGTACTGGAGGAAACAGGGCTTCAGCGATTGTTCTGGGGCGATTCCGAGACTCAGGCAGTGCATGCTCCCCTGCCGTTGCCGTGCCTCTCAGCTCTTCCCTCAGCTCCTTGGGTCTATGGTGCTGCCGCTGTGCTGTCTTTTTTGAGCTGGAGGTCAGCAGGCCTTCTCCACATAAGGAACTGTTGGTGCCCATTTATTACTCACCTGGGAAAGGACCTGATCATTGCCATTGGCAGCATGGTTCAATGGCTGCAAATGGATCTGATGGAGAGCGTGTGGCTTTGGGAGGAGTGTGCCGCCTTCCGCAGTGAGCAGCGAGGCTGGGACCGGCAGGGATGAGGTCCCGGGAGGGGATGCGGCAGCCCTTGAGTGCTGGCCGGGGAAGGAGAGATGCCCCCAGTGAGGAGGCGCCGGGCTGAGTGGCCCAGACTCCTTAGGAGAGGCCTGGTTTTGGGCTTCCTTGGTGATTTTCCTTCATGTCTGCCTCCTGTAGGCGGAGCAGGCCAGGAGGAAGCAGCGAGAAGAACGCCTGCAGCAGCTGCAGCACAGGGTGCAGCTCAAGTATGCAGCCAAGCGCCTGGTGAGCCTCATTTCTTGGGGGGCAGGATTATGTCCAGGCAGGGTTGCTCTGCTTGGAGGCTCATGGGTGCGTGGTCAGGGCCTTGGTCTCCCCTCCGTGACCCTCACTGGCTATGTGCTCCCGTACAGAAGCTGGGCTGTGAGTGGTTGAGGCGTGGATCCTAGGAGTCGACCTCTCTCCAGCCAGGCAGCCAGGCCTATGTGAATGGGGCGTGGTGTGCTTTGTCTCTGGCATGTGGGGAGGTGGGTACTGGTGCTGAGACTTCTTCCTCCCTCACCACCTCCACTACCCCTGTCCAGAGGCAGGAAGAAGAAGAAAGAGAGAATCTCCTCCGCCTCAGCAGGGAGATGCTAGAGACAGGCCCGGAGGCTGAGCGGCTGGAGCAGCTGGAGTCTGGGGAGGAGGAGCTGGTCCTCGCCGAATACGAGAGTGATGAGGAGAAAAAGGTGGCGAGCAGGTGAGACAGAGGCGGTAGCACTACCCTGCCCCAGGCCAGGGGACACCCTTGAAGACAGCTCTTTCCCTCATGCCACAGATGCCATGAAGCACCTGGCAAGAGGCATGGTGGCCTCTGCCCTCTGCTCTAAGCCGGGTCCTTCCTAGGGTCCATGAGTGCCAGTGGCAGTGAGGACAGTCACCGGCCTGGCCTGTGTCCTCTCAGCTGTCCTCACGGCAGCTCAGGCAGGGCAGGAACATTTGTGTCTGCGCCTTATACACAAGGAGGCTGCAGCCCCACAAGGAGAGACTCCTTGGCTGAGGCCACAAGCCTCGGCAGTGGAGAGCTGGGCTAGAACTCAGCTGGCCTGGCTCTAGATCTCAGGCTCTGAGGCAGCTGACTGCACTGGGTAACCTGTGAGGTGCCAACCATCAAGGCGTCCTTAGCCTGAGCTTTCCTTCTCCCATAAAGCCTCTGTTGGTCCAGACTCAAGGTTTCCACTTGATGAGCCATGAGCTGCTGGGTGACTTAGCCCTGAGCAGGCCACCCAGGCCATTTCGGGCCCACAGGATCCCTGGTCACAGCCCTGTTCCCATTCACACTGGAACCTCACCACCATCCCTGAGTGTCTGCTCTGAGTATGGCACTGTCCAGATGCTGTGGACATAGAAGGGAAGAAGACATGGAGGGGACAGTTAATAGACATGAAAACAAATAGCACCTATGTGAAGTCAGCATGTTTGCCTACAAGGAAAACAAAATGGTGATGTGGATGGGGTGGGGGGCTGCACCTGATGATGAGTCCCGTGTGTCCTGTGACATCCTGGCCACCACATCTGTCGGAGGGTAACTGCAAGACCAGAGACCCTCCATGGATATTCCTGAAGGTTCATCCCCGGCCTTCACAGTCTGTCTGCAGGGCGCCTTCTGATGCCACCTCCAGCCGCCATCCACCAGACGCCAGCTTCCCCGCTGCCCTGAACTTCCTCCAGCGCACCAGGCCTTCCTCTGTCCTGTCTGAGGATTTGCTCATGCAACGTGCTGTGGCCAAACACCCTGCCCTCCTCCCTTGGCAGATGTCTTCCTCTCCTTTAAGGCCTGGCTCAGGTGTCGTCTTGGTGGCTTCGGGTGTCAGCTGCTCTGTTTTGCTCATGCACCTGCTTGTGCTTCTGTTGTTGCCTCCTCTCCCTGGCTGGGCTCGAGCTGCTTCAGGGCAGGAACCACGTCTTTATAGTTTGATGTTCCCAGAGCTGACCCAGTGTTTGGCATAGGGGTGTGCTCAATAAAATCGAGTTGACATGAATGAGCAGATGCTGCCTCGTTGCAGTCTGGTAGTGTAATTCCAGGCTGCGCATGTGAACTTCGACTTCTGCCCCTGCCCAGGGCAGAGACCACCGTGTTGCTTTATGCCTCGCTGGTGAGAGGGGGTCATAAACAGTTTGTGCTCCATGAACCCTTCCTGCCCGCCTCCGAGGTCATGTTTCTGCTCCCTCTCTTCTCCCTTAGAGCCCGTGGGGACAAGGCAGAGAACTTGAGTGGAGATGGAGGTGGTGAATATTAAAGGAACAAAGTGCTCCTTCAGGTCTGGGCAAGAGCCATGGATCCTGTAGGTCAGCTTCTGGGGCTTCCCATGCCCTCACGTTTCAGGAGATAACGTGAGCCTCGGAGGACCTGAGTTCTGAATAGAAAATTTTTGCTCTTCATTTCTTCACACACCCAGCCTCTCAGTGAGCTCCTGCTGGCTTTGTCCAGCATGCGACATAAGATTGAATCCAAGCCTTTTAAGATAGAGCCGCCTGCTCTTTAGTGACCATGAAGCCAAGCCTGTAATAATTACTCTTCTGATAGCCCAAGACAATTGTATTCTGTTTTGTTAGAAAGGAATTTCGAGGTGAACAAAAATGTTTTCTTTTTATGTGATGTTGCCATAGGTAGCGTGTGCCTGTCAGATGGTTTTGTGTTTTCTGAGGAGCATAGACTAGTAGAGCTAGCTCAGCTTCAGGCCATGGGATGCAGGGCTGGCTTCCCTGCCAACGCCTGGCGCTGATGGATTCTTCCCGCATTGCTGGGAAGGGCAGACTGAGGCACTGACACAAGAAGAGTTGTAGCTGGTCATAAGTGACAGCATCCTCTGTTCACTCGATTGGTCAGTTGTAGCTTCATCCAGGAGATGGTCATGGGGTTCCTGCTGCATACCAAGCTCTAGGTGAGGCCACGGGGACTCAGCAGAAACAAGGCCGACCTGGGTCCTCCCTTGTGGACATGACAGTCTGGGGAGATAGACCGAGAGGAAGCGATTTTGAATGAGATGGGTGTGAAGAGCAGGGGCCATGAATCTGTGTCAGAGCAGCCAGGCCTACCAGGGAAGGTCAAAGAAGGCTTCCTGGAGGAGGTGATGTTTCTGCTGCTATCTCAGAGTTGACTGGGAGCTGGTGAGGGGAGACAACATTCCAGGCACAGAACATCCGAAGGCCTGAGATGATGAAGAGCAAATATCCGCCCTGGGGCCTCAGAGGGGTCCAGCTTGCTGGAGGGAGGGCAGAGAGGAGAGCAGCCTGCCATGAGTCCCGAGGCTTCCGACTCAAGACTTGGGTTGGGGGTGCTGAGCCCCTTTCTCCTTTTTACATTTCCCTACCCACAGACCTGAGCGGCCATGGGAGGTTGGGGTTGGCATTTGCCTGGGGGAGTTTCTGAGCGAGCAGCACCTGCTACCTTGGTGGAACCCATTGCTGGGAATGGCCAGGGCTCAGCACCAGCGCTCAGCAGATGCTCAGTGCGTTTTGCTGAGTTTGCTGAGGGAAGACTGTTTTCTGTTCTCTCTCACACACACAGAGTGGATGAGGATGAGGATGACCTGGAGGAAGAACACATAACTAAGGTAACACAAGTGTCCTCAGCTGGTGCTGTGCTGGGGGTATAGGCTGGGCTGTGCACCCCTGGGGAGGAGGCTGGAGTCACTTGGCTACTTCTCACCCTCCTCTCCACAAAGGAGGAGCTTCCAGCACTTGGACTCCGTTGCTTCTTGCACACAACCCTGGTCCTAAGTTGCTCCCTTGGCCAGCTGCAGTGGACCCTGGAGTCCTCTCCTGGGGTCAGGGCCTGGGGAGTCCTCTCCTGGGGAGACCTTTCCTGGGAACAGGGACCTGAGGAGACCTCTCTTGAGTTTGGGGCCTGGGGAGACATCTCCTGGGTTCGGGGCCTGGGGAGACCTCTCCTGGGGGCAGGGCCATGCTTGCCACCCCAGGGCATCGAGGAACAGCTGTTCTGGGCTGAAATCTGGGTGTTTTCTGTCCCTGCTGGGTGGTACGGGTAGGACAGACATGAGTCCCCTGCCCTTTGGGTCTCTCATGGTGTGCTTCTCCCTTTGTCTGTGTTCCCATTTGCATGGAGGGCTATGGGTTGTGTATGGTCTGACATTTCCCATTTGGTTTCATTGATTTATGACTTGTTTTCTGTCGGAAGTAGGTATTTTCTTTGTATTTTCTTTTTTTCTCCCTTCACTCTTGCCTTAGAGGAGTAGAGAGAGGGTATTCTGGTCAGCCTTCCTTTTTCCCTTTGGGGATGTGTGTGACACACTCCCTCCCCTCCCACCAACAACCCACCCTCCCCAAGTGGGGACCCTTTGCCACGGGAGATGGTCACCCATGTCCAAAGATTGGCCAACCCCCCAAAAGCGGTTGATTAGAGGCTGGATATGACTCGTGGAAGGAGCTGCCTTTGGGGCATTCCCTTGAACTTCTGGAGCTGTGGGTGACTTGGGAATCCCTGGGTCCCTCGATAGATGCCTGACATGGGACATTGCTGTCCTGCCTCGGCTTTGTGCATTGGGAGCCACTCCCTTTCCCTCAGCCTCTCAGGCCCTGGCGTGCCTTGATGTTAGAGAATGCTGTGGGATGTTTTGGTTCTCTCTTTGAAGCGCCTTTCTTTCTCTCTGCTAGATTTATTACTGTAGTCGGACACACTCCCAGCTGGCCCAGTTTGTGCATGAGGTGAAGAAGAGCCCCTTTGGCAAGGATGTTCGGCTGGTCTCCCTTGGCTCCCGGCAGGTAAACAGTAGCCAGTATTTCCACCAGGGGCCATCCTGCTCCTTTCGCCACAACTTTGTCCTGCTCGTCCAGGCCTTGGGAGACGCTGGGTCTGTGACAGGCTGAACCGTGTGAGGAGCAGCCCCCTCCCTGACCTGGCCGGCCCAGCACTGGAAGGCAAAGGAGAGGTGGCGGGGCAGGTCCACGTGTGTTGGTAGGATGTCATTTAGCTGGCACCATCTTTTTGCCTCTTTCTTTCTCCTTTGCTGCAGAACCTTTGTGTAAATGAAGACGTGAAAAGCCTAGGTTCTGTGCAGCTTATCAACGACCGCTGTGTGGACATGCAGAGAAGCAGGCACGGTAGCCACTGGGACCATGGTGTAGCCGCAGGTGGTCTGGAGAGAGTGAGGCAGGGGTGGCAGTGACTGAAGACCATTAAGTGTCTTTCATAGAAAGAATGGCAGAGGAGACCCCAGTTCCTTCCTGAGTCCCCTCTCCTTGGGAAAAAGTGTTCCTACTCTCTGGGTCAGTGTCTGGTCCGAATCCTTGGCTTGGAGATGATTTTACGGGCTCTTTCTGGAGAACAGAAGTAAAACCTTACAGTGTTCCGATGAGACCACAGTAGGCAGTACTTGGGAGGGTCTTATAGACCCTACCCCATGGAAGTGGGTCTCAACATTACACAACCCCCTCTTGGGCCCGTGGACAGTTGCTGTCCTCTCTGTTTTCTCTCTTTGTGCCTGTGCCACCCTCAGAGAAGAAGAAAGGAGCTGAGGAGGAGAAGCCAAAGAGGAGGAGGCAGGAGAAGCAGGCAGCCTGCCCCTTCTACAACCACGAGCAGATGGGCCTTCTCCGGGATGAGGCCCTGGCAGAGGTGAAGGACATGGAGCAGCTGCTGGCCCTTGGGAAGGAGGCCCGGGCCTGTCCCTATTACGGGAGCCGCCTTGCCATCCCTGCAGCCCAGGTGAGGGCCCTGCAGGGCCAGAAAGCCGCTCTTGACTCTCACTGTGGTCTAGGCCATGAGGGGGGTCCTCATCACACTGTAGTTTGGGGGATGCCCCCCACCGTGGTCAGGTTGATGGCACCTTAACCCATTCTCTCCTGATGTGTGAGTTGGAGGAGGCGCGTGGGATCCCTTGGGGTCTCCAGGCAGCAGGGCCAGTTGGCATTACTGGGGATGGTATTTAGGAGCCAGGAAAGCCGGTGCATTCCTAGTGAAACCACAGGGAGAGGGGGGATGCCAGGAGCTGAGAAGAGTGTGCTGCATACATCTATTTACAAATGGCTTTCCAAGTGATGCTCCCAACTTCCATGCCTATGATGTGATGGAGGATGTCAGTGATAGAACCATTCAGTTTTCCAGTTTTTCCTTTTTGTAATATCAGTACTCTTAACTGGAAAGCTTTCCCTAACTTACACCTACCTGCAGCACGTGAGAATACTGTCTTCTCTGCCTCAACTTCTCTTGATTTTTAAACAGAAGGAAGAACTGCTAATGTAGCAGATCAAAAGTAGTATCTCACTGTTATTTGGTGGGTGCAGTTTCACTATTTCCTTGCTACTTCTTTAATTTGAGTGACTTTGGAAACGGGATATCACTAGTGGAAAATTCTGTATAATCCAGAAAAAAATGTAAGGTTTTAAAAGATTCAGGGAACTAAGTAACCATTTGCACAGCAGCTAAATGCTCACCAGCATACCTGCTGAGCTGTGTGGGCACTGGCAGAGAAACTGAGGAAAGCTGCCAGGCCCCATGGTGTCCCAGGCCTTCCCTCCCGTCTGTTTGCCTTTAGAGCAAGATTAGTGCTATAGGCATTTATACACAAATACCATAATATGGCCCAAAATCTTTACAATTTTTGAATTTTTAAAGTACTTTGACCATATTTTGCTTTTATGTTAATAGTATTCCAGTGAAATTCTGTGCATGGGGACACTGGAGCCCAGAAAAGTTAAGTGACTCATATTTTCTCACCAAGCGTGGGTGATGGAGCCATTCAGTTTTCCGATATTTTATTTTTTATATGAGTATTCCTTTAACTGGAAACTTTCCTAACAACAAACACCTAAAGATGTGCAGAGTTGCTTTTATTTTTGTTACCCCAGCTCCACGCCTTAACCCTCACTTTGAAATAGGATGTATCAACCCTATTTTGCAGATGAGGAAAGCAAGAGTCAGAGAGGTTAGACAACTCTTCCAGAGTCACACAGCTGGGGAGTAGCAGCTCCAGGAGTAGAAGCTGGGGCCGCTTCCTGGTGCACCGATGGTCTGCAGGTGTTTGTGGAAACTCGGGGGCCTCCGGGGCGACCTTGAGGACATGGACAAGGCTAAGCAGGGGTTCCCTTCACCCAGCCCTGCCCTTGGTTTACTCAGGAGTCAGACCAGCCCTAGTTTCCTGTGTTTCATGTATTGGCTTTTCATGTGAAACTCGAGGAGAGCTTGTCCGTTGCCACAAGCTGTTTTTCGAATGTCTCTACACAGTCCAGGCAGGAAATAGAAGCACTCACATCAGGAGCTCAGTGTCAGGCAGGCAAGGCTCCTGCAGGGGAGCCCCGCCCTGCTCAGGTGGCCTCATCTCCCCTCCCAGCTGGTGGTGCTGCCCTATCAGATGCTGCTGCATGCGGCCACTCGGCAGGCCGCGGGCATCCGGCTGCAGGACCAGGTGGTGATCATCGACGAGGCGCACAACCTGATCGACACCATCACGGGCATGCACAGCGTGGAGGTCAGCGGCTCCCAGGTGTGTGGGCCTCCCCTCCCCGGGCCAGGGCCTGCTGTGACGTAAAGGGACTTGGATGGTTCCTCCAGACACCTGGGCCAAGAGTTCCTCCGGAGGTGGGGCTTGATAGAGGGTGCACGAGTCAAGGCGGTGACCTCATCGGAGGCTGACCATGGCTTTCCAGTGCATCGGGGGACCCCGCTATGACAGAGTGCCTCATTTCCCTGCACCTCATCTGCCCCCATGCTCCTGAGTCCCTCCAGCCCTGGATGCCAGCAGCCAGTTCTGTAAGCCAGGGAGATGGCATGTGTGAGGCAGAAGTCCCCTCAGGATTGGATTTTGTCATTACTGAAGTTGTCTGGAGGGGACTGAATTGAGGAATGCTCAAGATCAGCGCAGGCTCCTCCTGCTGCCCTATCATGCGCCATGCATGGCACCAGGTGTCTCTGGTCTTCACGCTGACTCTGCCATGGGTGTGGTGTTCCTGTTTTACATTGGAAACTTGGAGATTCAAAGATGGTCAAGCTCTGTCCTGAGGTCATGCAGCTCATGAGTGTGGAGCTGGGGTGTGCCCACTGGTTTCTGACTGTGAAAACCCCCACGACATCCCACCAGCTCTACTGACCTGTGCCTGGGCTGAATTGAGGCTGGGATGTGATGGTGGCCTTGAACCATCACTCTTTGTAGACTCCAGGTCTTTTCCCAACCCGGTGGAAACTTAGCAGGGAGATTCCATACTTGAGGAATTCAGCCTCTTGCTTTTTCTCTGACCCACAGTGGACACTGGAGGAAAACTTCCCTTCCTTCCCTTTTCTCTTAGCTCCCACCAGCCTAAGGGCTGTGGAAACCCGTACCTTTTGTCTGCAGCCAGCCCCCTCTCCTCCCTTTGGTGGCTTCCTGTGTGTCCAGGGCCAGCATCTTCTAGGTGAATCTAAGATGTCAGTACCTTAGCCCTCAGCTGCTTGCTCAGAGCCTGGTTTGTGTTCTTTCCCCAGCTCTGCCAGGCCCATTCCCAGCTGCTGCAGTACGTGGAGCGATACGGGTGAGATGTGACCCTCTGAGGTAGTGGGACAGTCCCTTGGTGGCCCCCTGCGTGGGCCTCTGAGAGGCAGGCAGCACTTTGGTTCCCACCTCTGGCCCGGGCTGTGGCGGGGTGGAGCTGCATGCCATTCATGTCCTAGGCACATCATGGTGTGTGCTGCACACAGACCTGGAAGGCTGGGGACTGACCGCTGGCTCTGAGGCCTGGGGCCGTGGCCAGCCTGCTCTCTGGGAAAGGATTTGTAGCTTGTGACCCAGTTTGAGAGGCACCGGGCAGCAAGGCTTCCACTGGGGTGGGCGGGGCGAGTCGCCATCAGGGCACCACCACTTAATGTCCGTTGGCTTCTTCTCAGGAAGCGTTTGAAGGCCAAGAACCTGATGTACCTGAAGCAGATCCTGTATTTGCTGGAGAAATTCGTGGCTGTGCTAGGGGGTGAGAGCCTCGTCCCCCTGCTGACCCCGGGCCTGCAAAACTCGCTGGGCTGCTTTTTCCTTGGATGCCCATCAGGACACCTCAGTTCTCTGTGTTTTTAAGAAGGGTCGGCCGGGTGCGGTGGCTCACGCCTGTAATCCCAGCACTTGGGAGGCCGAGGCAGGTGGTTCACCTGAGGTTAGGAGTTTTGAGACCAGCCTGGCCAACATGGTGAAATCCCATCTCTACTAAAAATACAAAAAAATTAGCTGGGAGTGTTGCCGTGGCCTGTAGTCCCAGCTGCTCCAGAGGCTGAGACAAGAGAATTGCTTGCTCAAACCCGGGAGGCGGAGGTTGCAGTGAGCCGAGATTGTGCCACTGCAGTCCAGTCTGGGCGACAGAGTGAGAATCAGTCTCAAAAAAAAAAAAAAAAAAAAAAAAGAAGGGTCTTGGTCATTGATTTAGAAAATTCTTGTTCTTTGTAGCTTAGTTGAGTTGTCTGACTTGAGCTTTATTTAGACCCATGGGTTCTTTGCCCATGTTCTGAGGACTTTTTATTTCAGGCCCTGCTCTGGGGGGATATTAAGGATACAGCATCACATAGACACACGGTGTTTCCGTGATAGGCATAGTTCTGTGGGTTGTTCGAAGCACTTGCATATGCGGTTTTGTGTGCCCTGTGAGAACGCAGTGCTGGTATTTGAATCCTTGTTGATAGACGCATAAACTAGAGCTCGGAGCAAGGGCTGCTCCCAGCACGGGAGCCTGGGATCTTCTGACTCCAGCTCCCACGCCTCTTTGCATGACCCTGTCACGTCCCCTTCTTTTATGATGGGGCACCCCCTTGGAAGGCGTCTGTGGAAGTGGAAGCTGCAGAAAGCCTGTGGGAGCTCCTGGCGGGAGCTGGTCTCGTGTTGCTGCTCTGAGCCACCAGCTCTGCTTTGCCTCAGGCTCACCAGTGGCCTGGGCAGCTCCTCTGTGCTCCGGTGCCCTGCATACCTTGGTCTGGCTGCTGTGTCCCGGCCTCCTGGAGAAGGGGTGAAAAACATGAACTTACAGGGCTTTGGGTTCCACGTGCAAGCACGTGAGTCAGACATGGGAGGCTCCTGGACCCACCTGCCCTCTCAGTGGGTCCGTTGCATGCTATAAACAGTGAAAAGCAAAACAAAGCCATTTAAATACAGATGCTCTTCTTACTTGATGTGCAGTGTGGAGGGAGAGAAGATAGGGAAGGGTTGGGGGTCCTGAGAACCAGCATTGTGACCTATTTCCATTCTCTTTTTTAGGGAACATTAAGCAAAATCCCAATACACAGAGTCTGTCACAGACAGGTAAGAGAGTTGCCCTCAGAGGGCCCAGAGCTGATCTGAGCCACTTCCGAGCTTAACCCTGGGACTGAAACCTGAGGCTTAGGGTGAAGCTCCCAAGGCCCTTCATGTGTTTGTTCTCAGGGACGGAGCTGAAGACCATCAACGACTTTCTCTTCCAGAGCCAGATCGACAACATCAACCTGTTCAAGGTAGAGGTTTCCACCTTTCCACATTCCACATCCAATTTCCTTCCTGTCACCACCTGTGGGTAAAGTACTATGTTAAGACTGTAGAAGGAAGAAAAAGCAAAACAGATGTGTAATTACTTAACCCTTAACGCAACATGCCTGTGAGACAAAAGTCATCTTCTTTTAGAGTGAAGGCCACAGGGATGAGGGATGGGTGAGAAAGGGACCTTTCTTGGTGCCCCATAGAACAGATAGAGACTCCAGGTCCTTGCTCTCTCACTCCGTCTTCTGGCACAGTCTCCCTCAGGCTTATGGACAGGAATAGGACGTTGATTTGTTCTGTGCAACCCCTGTCACGTCTTCCCACTTGGGCCTTGGGTCTGGTTGCAGCCTCAGACCTCTGCTCACTCCAGGTCTGTGTACCCAGCGCTCCCCAGATGAAACACGGCCACTGCCGCCTGAACCCCAAGCTCGTAACTCAAATCAGCAACAGTGACTGCCCCCGGGTACAGGGTTCTGCCTCTGTTGTAGGCGGCATGCCATGTGCTGTGCTCTGAGCTAGGATATCCTTTTGCCCCAGCAAGGAAAGCAAACAGGCCCGTGGAGGTGACTTCAGGAGGGTGGCGAGCACAGGCTTCCCACAAGTGAGCCAATAGCAAGTGGCAGAGACAGCGTCCAAACCTGGCTGCACTGACTTGGGGCCCCACATTCTTCCCATCCTGCCTGCCTTTTTTTTCTTAAAACCAGCTTTTCCCCTGAATTACACATTTGGGTCACTGTCACTGCCGCCATCCCTGCCAGACAGGCTGGATCCAGGTCATCCTTGATGCCTTTCTCCCCTTGTCTCCCACATGCCTGTGACAGCCGCCAGGCCTGACAGCCTGAGACAGTCCTGCCGTCCCTGCGCTTCTCCCACAGCTGGGACATGGGTGCAGGCACTCCTTCTCTCGCCTTCCCTTTGCCCTCCTTGCTTTCCTTCTCCCCTCTTCTTCCCATGGGTCTCGGGTCTCATCACTCACCATTGAGGGAATCCTCATCGAAGGACGTCGCTCTTTTTAGAAACCGGTTTAAAGGCTCCAAACTCCTCATCTCTGCATCCCAAGCTAAGATCTGGCACCAAACCACACACATTGGATGCACCGACTGAGTGGCACTGCCCCAGCCCCTGAGCAGGTCCCAGCCATCATCTCCTCTGTGGCTTTGCTCATAGAAGTTCCTTTTTTTTTTTTAACTCTTTGTCACCTGGAAGGAAAGCCAAGGGGAACTGGATTTTACTGAGCACTCTTAGACTTGAGAGAGACATTTGGAAAGAGGGTCTCCACCCTGAGGAGGACACTGCGTTGTGGGCAGGGGCAGTAGAGGAGGGGGTGGCCTCGGAGAGGAGATGACAAGGTTGGTGGCAAGGAGGCTCCAGGTGCCTCAGAAGGTAGCACTGCGTTGTGCTGCCTGGGTGGTAGAAGTGGTGTTTTTTGTTTTGTTTTTAAGATTATAGCTTGCTCAGTTTGCACTCATGCCTACAGCTGGGCTTGGTTTTTGCAGGTGCAGCGATACTGTGAGAAGAGCATGATCAGCAGAAAGGTAACTGCTCCCATCTTGTGGTCCTGAACAAGACCCAGCTGTGCCCCAACCCCCTGCCCTTGCCATGCTTTCCTCCCCTGCCCTCAGGGAACTCCAGAGTCCCCTTCGTCTCCACTCTCCTTGGTGCAGTGGGCCTTGCTGGGGTGGTGGGATGTGTGCTGCAGGTGTCTTGGGCCTGGCAGAGCCTCCGATCCACCCAGCCTCTCTCTCATGGCTGTACCTCGTTCCTCTCCACTGCTCTCTCTCATCCCACCCAGCTCTTTGGATTCACTGAACGGTACGGAGCAGTGTTCTCATCCCGGGAGCAGCCCAAACTGGCTGGGTTTCAGCAATTCCTGCAGAGCCTGCAGCCCAGGACGACTGAAGGTGAGGCAGGAGGGTGGGCAGGCAGAGCCGGCTGCACGCATGGGCAAGGACTTCTGTTCCTCATGTGTGGACCTGACCAGAGGGAGGCCTCCTCCCCGTTCTGCTCTGTGCAGCTCTTGCAGCCCCTGCAGACGAGAGTCAGGCCAGCACCCTGCGACCAGCTTCTCCACTGATGCACATCCAAGGCTTCCTGGCAGCTCTCACTACGGCCAACCAGGACGGCAGGGTCATCCTGAGCCGCCAAGGTAATCAGGTGGTTCTTGGCCAGGTTCAGTTCCCAGGAAGGAGCCAAGCTGAGCCCGGGAGCCGCAGCGTGAAAGGATTCTTTCCTTCCATCCTGGGAACTTCCTGGGTTAGGAGGAAGCAGTGCAGTGGGCACTGGCCTGCTGTGACCTGGGCAAGCAGTGGAGGTGGATGGGAGGAGATCGAAGGGCTGGGATGGGGGTCCCGTGACCAGGGTAAGCAGTGGAGGTGGACGGGAGGAGATCGAGGAGCTGGGATGGGGGTCCTCTAGGGCAGGGGTCCTAGGGAAACTTCTACTGTGGGGTAGGTGGGCTTTGGTTTGGGTCATGATTTTGTCATCTATGAGCCTTGTGATTTGGACTATTTTCTTTCTCAACTTCAGTTTCTTCATATGAAAATGGAGAGGATAGGCCGGGCGCGGTGGCTCACGCCTATAATCCCAGCACTTTGGGAGGCTGAGGGGGGGCGGATCGTGAGTTCAGGAGATCGAGACCATCCTGGCTAACACAGTGAAACCCCGTCTCTACTAAAAATACAAAAAATTAGCAGGGTGTGGTGGTGGGTGCCTGTAGTCCCAGCTACTCGGGAGGCTGAGGCAGGAAAATTGCTTGAACCCAGGAGGCGGAGGTTGCAGGGAGCCGAGATTGAGCCACTGCACTCCAGCCTGGGCAACAGATCGAGACTCCATCTCAAAAAAAAAAAAAAAAAAGGATGGAGAGGACAGTGTGGTCCACCTCTGTGGGCTGGTTGTCCTAGAGATTAAATGGTGTTTAATTTAAAGAGAAAGCACTAGCACTTGTGCCTCAGACCTGGACTCACCTGGGGGACCCCCTTTGCTGGGACGACAGAAGTGTCTGTTGGGCTTGCACTCACCTCCCACCGATCTGTTTTTCCAGGCAGCCTCAGTCAGAGCACCCTGAAGTTTTTGCTCCTGAATCCAGCTGTGCACTTTGCCCAAGTGGTGAAGGAATGCCGGGCAGTGGTCATTGCGGGGGGTACCATGCAGCCGGTAAGGACACCTTTCCCAGCCCCTCGTGCCCCAGGTGTTGGGATGAGATGGGGGCTTGGGAGAGATGCATTATCAGTCCTGTTCTCTCCTGGGGCCCCAAGCCAGAAAGGGTCAGCTCGAGCAGGCCCAGTGGTGTCCGCTGGGTGACACTGCTATTCTCTCACTGCTGTGCCTTTTAGGCTGCAGGAGCAGTGGAGACTCCTCTGCTGCTCCATTCTGTAGCCCCAGGATCACATGTCTCCCAGAGAAAGCTGTTCTGTGGTTTCAAACTCAAGGAAAAAAATCATGATTCCACTTTTAAAAGGTTCATTTTGATGTATATGAATATAATAGTCTTTGTAGGCGTAATTTTTACTTATGTGCATAGCTGTTTTAAAAACAAAAGTACGGCTCCCTCCATGTGCTGTCACTGGAACTTGCTCTTTTCACTCAGCAGCCAGAGGGTCATAAACCCTGTCTCCTTGTCAGCAAGCATGCACGTATTTCAGTATCCCAGCTGTGCTGGATTCCAGTTACACAGATATATAGCATTTCATGTAGCTGCTTCTCTCTTGTTAGGTGTGCAAGCTATTTGCAGTTTTCTGTTTTGAGCATGACTGTGATAAATATAACCGCATTTCTGCACAGTGGTGACTCCTACCTAGCGAAGGGCCTCCTGGACAAAAAGCTGCTGGGAATCCTGAAGCAGTGCTTCCCAGCCCCAGCTGCCTTAGCTTTTGATTTTTATATTTTTGTATGGATAGATTCATAGTTTTATTCATTCGGCATATTAAAAGTTGTTTACAGTAATTATTGTTTCTGACGTTCACATTGTGAGAGCCCCTTCCTGCTAGCTCAGGTCCTCCCCGTGGCCCGGTCAGTCTCGCCTCCAGCACAGCAGAATGTCATGGGATCACCATGGGTGTCCTTTCCCCACACTGGATTGATTCATTTCTCCAAGCTGCTCTGGTTTCTTGTAATGGGGAATGACATTTAGAAGTCAAGCTGTGGGTGCTAGGGTGTTTGTCGTGCTCCTGGGGCGTTTTGGTAGACAGATCTAGGAAATGTTTTCAGAATGAATCCATACTGGTATTTCTTTCTTTCTTTCTTTTTTTTTTTTTTTTTTTTTGAGACACAGTCTCGCTCTGTCTCCCAGGCTGGAGCGCAGTGACCTGATCACGGCTCTCTGCAACCTCTGCCTCCGGGGTTCAAGCGATTCTCATGCCTCAACCTCCTGAGTAGCTGTGATTACAGGCATGTGCCACCACACCCAGCTAATTTTTGTATTTTAGTAGAGATGGGGTTTTACCATGTTGGCCAGGCTGGTCTTGAAATCAGGTGATCCGCCAGCCTTGGCATCCCAAAGAGCTGGGATTACAGGCATGAGCCACCACGCCTGGCCCATATTGGTGTTTCTAAGTAAAAATCAAAGGATTTGTTTACTTGACCTTTTATTGTACCTCTTTTTCTCTTAAGCCTGAACATGTGTGCTACATTAACATACTTATCTGCTCTATCCTATAATATACTTAAAAGTTTTGAAATCATAGTACCAATATTACTTCTAACAATAGATCTGATTGAAATTGCCTTTCCTCTTTGCCTTTAGAGTGTAACCCACTAAGGATGCCTGGTCACTAGGCTCTAAAGTCACGTGGAACCAGGCTTCTCTCCGTGTGCTTCTGTTGTCAGTTTCATAGATAACTAGGCTGTTTTTGTTTCATTTTCTTTTCAATTTTAGAATTTGCTTTTTTCTTTTCTGACTTGTAGTTTTTAAATATGTAAATATTTGTATGGCTCAAAAGTCAAAGCAATATAAAAAGATCTATTCAGGAAAGCCTCACTCTCATCCCTTTCCAGCCCATTCCCCACCCCCATAGGGAATCCGTTTTACTAGCTTATCCTTTCAGTCTTTCTTTTTCCCCTAAATAAGCAAAAACGTGTCTTCATTTTTCCCTTTCCTGTTTTATTTACACAGAAGGCATCTTAGTCAGTTGTCTGACCATCGCTCCTCTAGTGGGCTGCGTGGTTCTCTGTTGGACAGATGTAGGGAGCTTATCCAACCAGTACCCTCTGGATAGGCAGGCGCATGATTACAGGGAAAGGTCCGGGGGCACATGCTGTTTGGTATTTGTGGGCTGTATCTTCTCACTGGACTCCTAAATATGGGATTCCTGGGTTAAAAAGTATAAATATGTTTAATTTGTTAACTACTGTGAAATTTCATGAGAATTGTACCATTCTGTATCCCACCAGTACTGTCTAGGAATGCCTGTTTCTCCAGAGTGGTTACTTTTGGATTTTTGCCAGTCTAACAGGTGAAAGCCTGGAGATTCTTATTCAGTAGTTTGGGCTGGGGCCTGGCCATGTGTATTTTTGAAAATTTTCGCTGGTGATTTTGCTGCATGGCCAGGGTTGATAATGACTGTGCCAGATTTGCTGGATTTCCTTTGCTGTTCCTGCACATAGTTTAAACGAGACTGCCAGCACTGGGTATCAGTCACCATTTTTCTTTTTGTTAGTTTGCCATCAGCCTTTTCTTTGACCTCTTCTTTCAGTTTGTGTGTACTTGCTGTCTCTTAGCCCAGACTTCTCGCTTCCTTTCTGCTGGGCCTCTGAGGGGTCATGGGGCCGTGACGCTGTGGCCTTGGTCTACAGGTGTCTGACTTCCGGCAGCAGCTGCTGGCCTGTGCCGGGGTGGAAGCTGAGCGCGTGGTGGAGTTTTCCTGTGGTGAGAAGCTGTGCCCAGGGTGGGGCAGGCTAGAGGTCAGGTTCTGGCCCCCGTTTTCTGTGGGTAATACCTCATACTGCGACCAGGCACAGGGGCGGAGGAGACCCCGGGGTGGGAGCCTCACCCTTCGTGCGCTCGCCCAGGCTCTCCTGCTTTGCTCCCTGCTGCCTGCTGCCCAGTGTGACTGGTGATGGTGGGCGGGTGAGCGCTGTCAGTCGCTGTTCCTGTGCTGGATGATGGGGCAGGGAAATGCCCTCTCTGCAGTGTCTTGCAGCACACCTGCATCTCCAGTTTTCGGCCCCTCCCTGGCTCTTACCAGGTCACGTGATCCCTCCAGACAACATCCTGCCCCTCGTCATCTGCAGCGGGATCTCCAACCAGCCGCTGGAATTCACGTTCCAGAAAAGAGAGCTGCCTCAGATGGTCAGTCCCAGCCAGCTCGCCGCACCACAGCCTGGCCTCAGGCAGCAAAGGGTTTTCTGGGGCAGGGGCGCTCTGGCCCACCCTGAGTGTTTTCAGTGTTGGGGAAATTGCACAGGGACACCCGCTTAGAGCCACACAGAATGAGCGGCGTCGATCTAGATGCTTATGGAGGAAGGTCTGAGCTTCCCCGCCCCTCACGCCTTAGGCTGCGAAATATGTATTCATAAAACCTCCAGGCATCCTCTGAGGACGCCTCACACAGGAGAAAGCTGCTAGTTCCCTTTGGCTCTCTTGCCCTTTGGTTATATCTGCCCCTGCCGGGGGTAGGGATGTGGGGCTTGGGGGCATCTCCTGTGGTGTGCCTGGGGTGTGCAGCCCCTGATTGTCGTTGTGGTGCCCATCAGGACCCTGGACAGAAGAAGGGAGGACTCAGTGCCAGGGCAATAGGGAGGCCCCCTAGGGACGCTAGTGCTGTGACATGTGTCAGAAAGGCGCAGTCAGCAGCAGCGGCTGGGTGTGTTTGGTGGGAGGTGGCACCTACCACCCCGTGGTTCCCACCCAGGGGAGCCAAGTCCTCTTCCTTGGCTGTAGTCCTGCCGAGGGTCTCTCCTCAGTTTTGAGTCTCAAGGTGAAGACGCGGTTTGTGGGTGGCTGAGGGGTTGCTCCATGGGGGCTCCCTCCCTCCCTCCTTTCCTTCCTTAGATGGACGAGGTGGGTCGCATTCTCTGTAACCTGTGCGGTGTGGTTCCTGGAGGGGTGGTCTGTTTCTTCCCCTCCTACGAGTACCTGCGCCAGGTCCATGCCCACTGGGAGAAGGGTGGCCTGCTGGGCCGTCTGGCTGCCAGGAAGAAGGTGAGTGGCCTGTCGGCAGCCTTCCCACTTGTGAGGACAGTGCCACTGAGTCCTCCTGGGAGCTCTCGTGCTCATCGGGTCAGGACAGGCTTCTGGCTCCTCATCCCCACCGCTCCCAGTCCCTGACTACAGAGGATTTCCCCCAAAGTCCCTGGCTGTGAGGTTCTCCAGTCCCCTGGCCAGAAAACACAAGGCCACGAGCAGACTCGAGACCTGGCACCCTGAACCTGTCTCTGGGAAATGTCCTCTGTCTTTCTCAGATATTCCAGGAACCTAAGAGCGCACACCAGGTGGAGCAGGTGCTGCTGGCATATTCCAGGTGCATCCAGGTGCGGGCGTCATGCTGGGCTTGGGTCTGAGATCGTGTGGGGGTGGCAGCTGGAAACGTTGTGGGTGTCATCCAAGTTTTGGCTCAGCAACTCAGCGTCTGGGTTTCTCCTACAGGCCTGTGGCCAGGAGAGAGGCCAGGTGACAGGGGCCCTGCTCCTCTCTGTGGTTGGAGGAAAGATGAGTGAAGGGATCAACTTCTCTGACAACCTAGGCCGGTAAGTAGTGGTTCTGCTCGTCTCCTGGGCCGTGATACATGGCCGGCCCTCACTCCCAGCAGCTGGGCCCCTGCCTGCTCTCTGCTGCCATTAGAGCCCACAGCTGGGCTGCGACTGCTCAGACCAGCCAGCTGGAGGGAGGGGCTCAGCAGCTCTGGGTTTGGTCCTGGGAGAGCAGTTGGATTTTAGGCTACCCATTGCTGTATCAGGACCCAGTCAATTGGCCTAGACGGGATCTCTCAGCCGAACAAGCCCTCTCCAGGTGGTAGGTACAGAGTGGAGAGAGGCTGAGTTTTGATCACAGTCGGAGAGGCTGAGGGAAGGGGTAGAACGGAGCAGCTGGTGACGTGGGTGATGACCCGGGAGGTCCTGACGTCCACCTGCTGGGCTCTTGTCTCCCCCGCCCAGGTGTGTGGTGATGGTGGGCATGCCCTTCCCCAACATCAGGTCTGCAGAGCTGCAGGAGAAGATGGCCTACTTGGATCAAACCCTCGTGAGTGACCCCAGTGTCACAGAGGGTGACAGGAGAGTAGGCAGTGGGTGGGAGTGGCATCACCCCCAGGGCTGATACAGCCAGGCCTTCCCCGCTGCGCTGGCGTCTCCTGCCCCCTCCGGAAGCTTGGATGCCCCTCCACACCCTCTTGATCTTCCCTGTGATGTCACCTGGACCCCTGCTGCTGGCATTGGCCACGAAGCCTCCTGGTCTGGCTCCAAAGCCTGGCAGGGTCTTTTCCCAGGGGGAGCTGCAGGCAGGGAACAGTCCTGATGGGTCTTCCCCTTCACTCCCAGCCCAGAGCCCCCGGCCAGGCACCCCCAGGGAAGGCTCTGGTGGAGAACCTGTGCATGAAGGCCGTCAACCAGTCCATAGGTGAGCCTGGCTGCCTCCAGCTGGGTGGACAGATGGGGGCTGGAGAAAGGGAGAACAGGAAAGAGGGGTTGCCTGCCCTGTTTCCTATATAAGTCTGAGGAAGGGGAGGGGGTCGCCGTGGGAATGTGCTGTAGGGGGGAGGCAGGTGTTGCTCGGAGCCCCAGCCTCTGTTCCTATGCAGGCAGGGCCATCAGGCACCAGAAGGATTTTGCCAGCGTAGTGCTCCTGGACCAGCGATATGCCCGGCCCCCTGTCCTGGCCAAGCTGCCGGCCTGGATCCGAGCCCGTGTGGAGGTCAAAGCTACCTTTGGCCCCGCCATTGCTGCTGTGCAGAAGGTCAGTCCTACCTTTTTCTTTCTGAGAGCCTCCCCACCCCGAGATCACATTTCTCACTGCCTTCTGTCTGCCCAGTTTCACCGGGAGAAGTCGGCCTCTTCCTGATGGGCAACCACACCACTGCCTGGCGCCGTGCCCTTCCTTTGTCCTGCCCGCTGGAGACAGTGTTTGTCGTGGGCGTGGTCTGCGGGGATCCTGTTACAAAGGTGAAACCCAGGAGGAGAGTGTGGAGTCCAGAGTGCTGCCAGGACCCAGGCACAGGCGTTAGCTCCCGTAGGAGAAAATGGGGGAATCCTGAATGAACAGTGGGTCCTGGCTGTCCTTGGGGCGTTCCAGGGCAGCTCCCCTCCTGGAATAGAATCTTTCTTTCCATCCTGCATGGCTGAGAGCCAGGCTTCCTTCCTGGTCTCCGCAGGAGGCTGTGGCAGCTGTGGCATCCACTGTGGCATCTCCGTCCTGCCCACCTTCTTAAGAGGCGAGATGGAGCAGGCCCATCTGCCTCTGCCCTTTCTAGCCAAGGTTATAGCTGCCCTGGACTGCTCACTCTCTGGTCTCAATTTAAAATGATCCATGGCCACAGGGCTCCTGCCCAGGGGCTTGTCACCTTCCCCTCCTCCTTCCTGAGTCACTCCTTCAGTAGAAGGCCCTGCTCCCTATCCTGTCCCACAGCCCTGCCTGGATTTGTATCCTTGGCTTCGTGCCAGTTCCTCCAAGTCTATGGCACCTCCCTCCCTCTCAACCACTTGAGCAAACTCCAAGACACCTTCTACCCCAACACCAGCAATTATGCCAAGGGCCGTTAGGCTCTCAACATGACTATAGAGACCCCGTGTCATCACGGAGACCTTTGTTCCTGTGGGAAAATATCCCTCCCACCTGCAACAGCTGCCCCTGCTGACTGCGCCTGTCTTCTCCCTCTGACCCCAGAGAAAGGGGCTGTGGTCAGCTGGGATCTTCTGCCACCATCAGGGACAAACGGGGGCAGGAGGAAAGTCACTGATGCCCAGATGTTTGCATCCTGCACAGCTATAGGTCCTTAAATAAAAGTGTGCTGTTGGTTTCTGCTGAGTTTTTTATTGATATGTGCTGCTGTTTTCTCTGGAAGCCTCTTTAGGGAATCGAGGAGCGCACTGGTGCAGGGGCTGGGTGGAGCCATCCTCCGATGGAGCACAGGCAGACGGAAGCCCCCACCCCAGCTGCGTGGCCTCAAGCCAGCCTCCCGCTCCCCGAAGGTGGTCTCCACACAGACCTGGGACAGTTTCATCCCCGCCCCTTCCAGGGCAGCAGGGCTGAGGATCCCATTCTGGCTGTGTCCACGTCCGGGCCATGGCTAGAGTCTGGGTTTAGGGGAGGAAGGCATGGCGGCGCCCGCTAGGATTTCCAGTTGTCCTCTTCTTCCTCTGCCTGTGGCTGCTGGGGGTTAGCAGAGACGGTTTGTTGTCTGACATACGGGCTCTCTCCTCCCGGCCCCTCACCAGCCCCAGAGGTGAAAAGGCTGGAGGGGAAAGGGTGAGTGAGGGAGGTCTGTGGGGAGCACTGGTTTCCCCAGGCCCCAGAGACTTAAACACAGGAAGAAAAAGGCAAGAGAGAATTAACGATGCCACAGCCCATGGCAGACAGCGGCCCTGCCTCCTACCCTTGCGTCTCAGGACCAGCTTGTTGAAGAGATCCCACATCAGTTCCCTGCCTTGGCTTACGGCTCTCACTGCAATAGGAAAGCCACGGAGTGGGGTGTGGGGTTCAGTCACATTTGACCCCCGGCTCCGTGTTCCTGTCCCCTGTAGTGTTTTTGTTATTAGACCCTTTTTTCTCCTTGGTTTAGGAATGGGGGCCCCAGGGCCACCCTTGTCCAGGCTCCCTCTACCGTAGAGGTGAGAATTCCAGGGAGCTACAATTTGAAAACCACTATTTTATGAGCCAAGTAGAACAAGAAATGACAACTATTAAAAAAAATAAGGGATTTCTGACCAGCTAACAACCCCACAGAAAATCCGCCAGGGATCCAGAAATGAGACTGAGGTGGCCTCAGAGAGCTCCCTCCTGAAGGGGATGCTGCTGCTGTCGTCCTGCCCGGCGCCTTGGACTGCAGTGGCCGGGGCCTGGGGTGGGGATGAGGGTGCACTGACCAGCACCGCAGCAGCTGGGGGAGGTTGGGGTGCTGTTAACGTGCCATCTTATAGGTAGGAAGTGGAAATGGGAGAAAGTGTGGGGTGCCTAGGGAAGGAGGTGACTGAGCAGGGAGCCTGGCTGCCATCCTAACACCCAGCTCACTGGGCTTGAGCGACTTGAGCCTGGTGCCAGGGCAGAGTGGGTGATGCTGGGGCCCAGGCTGGCACCATACTTGAGGTCTGCCAGGCAGGTCAGGTAGGATGGCACATCGACCTTGGGGGACTTGGCCCAGGTCTGGCATGTAGAAGTAGTTCTCTGGGACCCATGGGATTAGGTGGGGACATGTGAGAGGTGACAGGGACCTGCAGGAGCAGCTAGCGAGACCTCATGTGCACCCTGCACAGCTGTGGTGGCATAAGGGATTCAATAGAGCCTCTCCTAGAGAGGAGCCTGGCAGGGCCCCCAGCCCTTGCACCTGCCCCTCCCTCTCCACCTTCTGCTCCAGCTGCTCTCTCACTGATGGACAAGGGGCACTGAACAGTTTATCTGTCTCTACCCCCAGCATCACATGGGTCTTTGTTACAGCACCAGCCAGTCCGTCTGGGAAGACAGACTTCTTGTATCTACAGGGGCGACGTGGAGGTCAGGCAAGCCGGCACCTGCTGTCCTGGGACCATGTTCCTGACCTACCTCTCCCATGTCATCAGGGACACTGCACTGAGGGGTCCCAGGCCACTGAGCCAAGCCACCCTGGTCACCTTCTGGCTCCCACCTCTGTGCTGCACCTGAGTGTGATGCCCTAGGACCCCATTAAGTCAGGCTGAGTCTTGCACCCACACCCTGCGACTCCATTTTCTGCTACACAGGATCTCTCTGATGTTGACGAGCAGCATGGAGACCTGGGGAGACCCCCCAAGCGCCTCCTCCATGTCATCCTTGGGCTCCAGCTTGGCGCTCACACACACAGGAAAGGACTTCAGCTTCTCCTGGGAGGGCTGGGTGGCTGAGGGGTGGTGGATTTCGGAGTTGGACTAGCAGCTGGCCTAGAGGCTACTGGGGAGGAGGGAGCAGGGAGCACCCACTCCTGATCCAGATTCACTGCTTCCCTCGCATCTGTCATGACCCCAAAGAAGCAGATCCTGAACCTGGGCTCTTGTCTTTACCTTTGTTCTCTTCCACTCTGGGGTAATTAAGAATGATTTGCTGGCCAGGCGCGGTGGCTCATGCCTGTAATCCCAGCACTTTGGGAGGCTGAGGCAGGTGGATCACAAGGTCAGGAGATCAAAACCATCCTGGCTAACACGGTGAAATCCTGTCTCTACTAAAAATAATACAAAAAAAATTAGCCAGTCGTGGTGGCACACATCTGTAGTCTCAGCTACTCGGGAGGCTGAGGCAGGAGGATGGCGTGAACCTAGGAGGCGGAGTTTGCAGTGAGTGGAGATTGCGCCACTGCACTCCAGCCTGGGCGACAGAGTGAGACTCCGTCTCAAAAAAGAAAAAAAGAATGATTTGCTAATTAATTATGCAGGCAGCTGATCCAGTGCTGTGTAACCTTGGGGGCCACCAGATGCCAATCAATCAGTAGAATGGGAGAGAAGGATGGAGGAAGTGAGGACAAGGGGCAAGGAGGAAGGTCTGTCCACCTGTCTCTTCTGTGCAGGAGGTGTCCAAGCAGGAGGAGCACGTCACATCCCCACTGAAAAAGCCCACAGAAAATGAAAAGCCCACATGCTTGTCCATTGCTGCAGGATGGGGGCAAGTGGAGGGGGAGAGGTGTCGGCGCTCCCACCTTACTCCCAGTCATGGCTGACTCCTCCCTTTCCTTCGTTCTTGTTCCTAATCTGTCACCATGTCCTGTCGTTTTCTTTGTCTCACCCAACCCTCTCTGCCTGAAAATCCCCTGACGGCAGCCTCATCCCTGTCACCTCCTGACTGTAGTTGGTGACAGAAGAGGAGGCTGCACTAGTGAAGGAGCAGGGACTCCAGGTCTGGCAACAACCAGGGATGGGGCCGGGTGGGGGTGACTTGGACCAGGAGAGGGGCCTGAGTCAGGCAGTCACATACTTCATGCTGGGGTCCCCCAAGTGAAGCACATTTAGCAAGATCTGAAATACAGGGAAACAGTCTTGTTTCTTCAATAAATAAATTGCAAAGGAGAAACAATTGATGAAAGGAGAAACCTATAGATCCAGAAATACTAACAGGCAAATCAAACAATCATAAGGAGAGACTTTATTTGGATTTTGATTCAAACAAACTAACAAAAAAATGAAATTACTGGAAATTTGGAGACAGTAGGGTAGTTGGTAGTATTAAAGAATAGTAGTGTGCGATGGTTGGTATGATAATGGTATTGCAATTTTGCTTTTTTTTTAAAAGAGTTCTTGGCTGGGCACAGTGGCTCATGCCTGTAATCCCAGCATTTTGGGATGCTAAGGCGGGAGGCTCATTTGAGGCCAGGAGTTCATGACCAGCTTAGCCAACATGGCAAAACCCCATTTCTACTAAAAAAAAAAAAAAAAAAAAAAAATACAAAAAATTAGCCTGATGTGGTGGCACACACCTGTAATCCCAGCTACTCATGCAGCTGAAGTAGGAGAATCACTTGAACCCAGGAGGCGGACGTTGCAGTGAACTGAGATTCCGCCACTGCATTCCAGCATGGATGACAGAGCAAGACTCTGTCTCAAAAATAAATAAATAAATAAATAAATAAATCATAAGTTCTTATCACTGGGTATGGTGTCTCATGCCTATAATCCCAGCACATTTGGGAAGCACAATTTGGGAAGAATTGAAGTCTTTATTAAGTATTTCTACCCATGGATCCATGTATTTCTTCATTGATTTAGGTCTTCTGTGATTTTGTTTACAGCATTTTGTACATTTTCAGCATACAGATCTTATATAGACTTAATCATTTTTTCAGAGATAGTACAAATGCAATTATTTTAAAATGTTGATTTTCTGTTAGTTATTGTTAGTATATACAAATGAAATTGAGTTTTGTATTTTGAACTTGTGCTACTTCTGGAATGTGTGTGCGTGTGTGTGTGTGTGTGTGTGTGTGTGTGTGTGTGTGTGTGTGTGTGTATGTAGTCCTTGGAATACACCATAACCAAGTGGGTTTTTCCTGGGAATGCAAGACTGCTTCAATACTTGAAGATCAGTCAATGTAATCTGCCATAGTAATAATCTAACAAGAAAATCAACATGATCACATCAATTGATATAGAAAAAAAATTTACAGAATTCAACATATTTTCCTATTACAGATTTTCTGCAAACTAGGAATAGAAGCAAGCTTCTTAACCTGATGTATGGCACCTTCAAAAAGCCTACAGCAAACATCTTACTTAGTGATGAAAACCTGATTGCCTTCCCCATAAGATTTGAGAACCAGGCAAGGATGTTTACTCTCATCATCACTCCTATCCAACATGGTACTGGAAGTCCTAGCCAATACAATAAGGGAAGAAAATGACACAAAATAAAGGTAGTAAGATTAGAAAGAAAGAAATTGTCTCTATTCACAAACAAGGTGATTTCTTTTCCTTTTTCTTCTTTTTTTTTTTTAAGAGACAGGGTCCTTCTCTGTCACCCAGGCTTAAGTGCGATCATGGCTCATTGTATCCTCAAACTCCTGGGCACACACAAACAGTCCTCCTGCCTCAGCCTCCCAAGTAGCTAGGACTACCGGTGCATGCTGCCAAGCCCAGATAATTTTTTTTATTTTTTGGAGACACAGGTAGTCTCATTCTGGTTTCAGCTCTGGAAGGGGTGAAGAACAAGTCCCCAGAGCCCATCCTGTCCCTCGTGGATGACATACTGAGGGCTCAGGAAGACTCTCCCTCACAGCCTGCCCCAGTTTCCAGGCTGAGCCACCTGAGCAGCTGCTTCAGAAAGCCTCTTGTGCCATAGCCATGCTTAGGAAAAAGCATATCTTCCATTCAATTCACCAAGAAACACCAAGAAATAACTGGATACAAAGAATAAAAAATACTCTGCCACACTGGCAGGGCAGGAGGGTGAAAATTGTGCCCCCTCCAAAGGTAATGTCTATAAAAGGATAACTAAGGCCAGCGCCAAAGTCCACCTACAGAAGGCGGGTCTGTCTCAACCCCAGCTGTCAGTCACTGTGAACTTTTAGAACTGGGGCTGAAGCTTCTTCCAGTTGCTTGCTCAGATGTCAGTGAGACCGCTCCACAACAGATAAGGGGAGCTGTGTGTCAGGGAAGTCCCAGCCACTAGCACAAGCTGCACTCCAGGCAGACGTTTCTGTTCTTGTGCAAAGAACAGCGCAATCCATTCAAGTTCACAGGGGCGGGTGGCACTTGAAAATGTCAGGGTCAACTTGCAGGGCAGAAGTTAGCAGGGAAGTAAGTCTTCCTGGGGGAGTGGGAGAGCCCAGCAGAGTTTAGGAGGAGGGAGGGGCAACATCGGGGCAATCCTCTGAGTCTCTCTTTCCTCCTCAGGAACTGTCCAGGAAGACCCTGCAGTCTCTCTGCAGGCTCATGGGAGCTCCCAGAACTGAGACAACACACAGATCCAGGCCTGCTTCGAAGTCAGTGGGATGCGGCCCTTGAAAGTCGATGTATTGGGTTCCTAGGGCTCTTGTGAAAACATGCCACACCTGGCTGGTTTTAAACAACAGGAGTTTATTCTGTCAGTTGAGAAGGCTAGAAGTGCAAAATCAAGGTATTGACGGGATGAGTTCCAACTAGAGGCTGTGAGGCAGATCAACTCCATGGCTCTCTCCTGGCTTCTGCTGGTTTCTGGCAACCATTCACTTCCCATGCCTGGTAGACACATCACTCTAACCTCTGCCTCCCTTTTTCACGGGCACATTCGCGTGTGTGTGTGTGTGTGTGTGTGTGTGTGTGTGTGTGTGGATGTGTGTGTTAAGGACAGCAATCATTAGACTAGGTGGGGCCCACTCTAATCCACTGTGAGCTTCTCTTACTTTGGTAACATATGCAAAGACCCAATTTCCAAACAAGGTCACATTCCATGTTCTGGGACTGTCTTCTGTGAGATGTCTCCCCCAGGATCCTTCCAGGTTTTCTGCAAAGCCAGGCAGAAAACCAGGATCAGGGCAGGACAAGAGGATGCTAGCCTGTGATGGCTCCCACTCAGGTGGGATGTGAGAAGTGCCTGTGGCCTGGGACACACCAACTTGCTCCCAATACCTCATCTGAGATGGATTGCACAGTGTATGTCCAGGGCCCATCCCGGCACACTGTGCCTTTGCAATGCTGTCTCTGCGCTTTGGAAATTGACTCAGCCCACTGCGTGGGGTGGTCTGAGGCGGGCCACAACCATTTCTTAACCATCCCTGAGTACCTGACCAGTATCCCCCGGGGGTGACAACTGGCTACATCTGGAGCATGAGGAGCGTGTTTACCTGGTGAGTAAGGATGCAAGCATAGGACGTCCTGGCCGATCCTCTGCACAAGCAATGCCTTTGCTCCAACGGGATGGGCAACGTTGGATTAGGCCTGAGGCAGATTTGATCTTGGAAGATACATTCAAGTCTACGTGTTTTGTGCGTTTATTTTCGTTTCCTTGAATTAACATGGAGTCCATTTCAACTTTCACTTAGTCTCCTTCTTTCTCTTCCCCCACTTCTCTCTCTCTCTTTCTTTGTATATGGAAGAATTTAACTCTGTGTTCCATAATGTCTAAATACTCAAATTTAGAGTTGACAGCCATACAGCAAATTATTCAAGTTGCTGTCAAAAAAAAATCCCTGCGTTTTCTAGGATTAAAACTGTGAATAGAGTACTGGAAGAAAAAAAAGTCATAGACTCAGATGCAAAATGACAACATTTAATGGGATGATAAGGAAATAAGACTTGTCAAGAAACCATAGCCCACTGCAGACTGTTCACGATGTCAGATGGTTCATGATTTTTTTCCAGGTTTGATACAGAAGAATCAGTTTGTTAAAAGAAATGCTTCTCCACCTGGGATTTAAAACATCATTTAAACAATAAACACATTTGTATGTATATATAAATAGATATTTAGAAATAAAAACATGCATATATAGGCACATAGACATGTATATACATATACACACATATGTACAAATATATATGCCTAAATTTTTACTGACCTGTCAACTTACAAAACAAAAATGAGAGATTTATAAAAGGTACATATATAGCTGTGAATTCTTTAAAGCTATTTTTAAAGAAATTAATATAATCTTAATGATTATCAGATTACTCATGCAGTACACAGCTACACAAGTCTAATGAAGTACCAGAGACTTTTCTTTCTTCAACTATTGTCCTATCTTATTCAGGTTTTCATTTTCTTACTAGATGTGTTTTCAATGGTTTATGACGTAATAAAATTTCTTTACTTCTTCCAGTAATTGCTTTGTCTCACTCGGAAACTGAACTACTGTTGATGTGGTAAAAAGCTAGGGCATATTCTTCTGAAAAAATAAAGGGAACATGTATTTTTATTAAATAGATGATATAAGCACATTAGATCTAATCCTTCCAATAATTTTGAAATAGAGACAATTACTTTCCCATTTTATACATTATGCAGAAATATGCTAATAATATTTAAGACACTTGATGAAATATATTCTATTAGTAAATGATAGAGACAGAATTCAAACACTCCACAAACTTCACACAGCATTCAACAAGAAATAAATAGTACCAACCTTCCAGGGAACAGTTGTATGGTCTCTACAACATTTTAGTATATGTTTTAGAAATTAATCTATCAAATTTTTAAGTTAACATTTCAGAATATTCCCCACTCCTCTTTTTAAGTCAAAGTCCACAGAAGTAGCTTGGAACAGTCAGTCTTAGCATGAACAACAATGACAATAACAAAAAGACCTGGAAGCTTAGTGTGGCTTGTATTTCAAGTTCAAGTGGAGCCCTGTCAGGTTATATTGCAAGGATTCTGGTGTTGAAAAACTCTGGTAACTGGAAAATGGGTTCAGTCAGAAGACACATCATGGGATAAAGAAACCAGAACACAAAGTAATGCCATTTATTGTTTACTCTGTGAAGACAGAGGTTGATTTTGGAAAGTTTAGTAGCTCAGGGAATGTTAGATATAAACACCACATTCAATAACCTTAGGGCATGGCTGTTGCTTGCCTACCTTTTTCGTACTAATCGTAGACCATGCCTGGGGCTGGCTGAATGTTGAACACAAGGTTGCTCTGCTCAGCAGAAAAAGTGAAACTGTCTGCTCGACCAAAAACCTATCATGACACAAATTATAATTACATTGTAGCAGGTCTGAGAAAAGATAATCACTGAGAAAATTATCCGCAGAAGTTTATGATCTACATAATTAAATAGATCTAGGGTATGATTAACTTACATATTGGCAAAATAATGAGTTGTTAACCTTAAATCATATAAAATTTCAAGTTCCTTTGCTTACATTGAGGTGAGAGGAATTTAGCTGGAAGTCTCAGAGGAATGTAGGCATTTATGTGAGTGGTAACAATACACATAGAAAGGATGTCTCTAAAGCGCATGCCATAGTTTGGCATTTCCTCAGTAAAATAAAAATAGAACTACCCTATGATCCAGCAATCCCATTTCTGGGTATGCATCCAAAGAAAATGAGATGAATATTTTGAAGAGACAGCTGCAGTCCCATGCTAATTCTTTCATTAATCACAATAGCCAACATAAGGAATCAACCTAAGCGTTCGAAACAGATGAATGGATAATGAAACTGAGGCATATACACATACAAATTATTCGGCCTTAAAAGAAGAAAGAATTTCTGCCATTTGTAACAACACTGAAGAACTTGGAGGACATTATGTGGAATGAAACAAACCAGATACACACAAAAAACACTGCAGGATCTCACCTGTAAGTTAAATCTAAAGTTGAGTTCATAGATGCAGACAGTAGAATGGCAGTTATCAGGGATGGGAAAATGGGGAGATGCTGGTCAAAGGATAGAAAGCTTCAGCTGTGCAGGATGAATACATTCTACAAATCTCAGGTACAGCGGTGGCCTACAGTTAACAATGCTGTACTGTATATGTAATATTCCCTAAGGGAGTAGATCTTAAGTGCTTTGTCACAAAAAAAGAAGAGGTAACTGTGTGAAGAGAGGGATGTGTTAGCCAGCTAATTCACATATAGTCACGCTAGATGATAACAATCAGCTCACTATATATATCAAAACATCACACCACATACCTTCAATACACAATTGTAATTTCAAAAAATTATGGCAAACTTTGTAAGACTTTAGTCAAATTATAAAATAATTACATATCTACTCTGTGACCAGACTGTGTTTGATAGGGAGATGATGTTTCTAAAATGGAAAGCTATCTAGTCACATAGCCAGGGCATATATGAAATAGCCTTGGAACTAGCAAGGAGAAGATGATCAGTGGGATAAAACACTGGTAATCCTTAACGTCCCTTATTTTTTCCTTTTACAAATCCTATCATACATATCTATAAGAAATTGAAGCATCCAATTATCCTTGGAAGGAAAAAAGAAAAACTTTAAAGAAAAAAAAATATGGCTAAACTTACATTTTCCAAGTAGAAAAGAACATGGTCATTCTTGACTTCAGTCTTCATCACTTGGCCCTTGTTTTCAAGCTTTGAAGAAATTGTTAGGGAAGGATAGAGAATAGATATTAGAACAAATGACAGCGCCACTGCAGAACTGAATGTCCACTCTTTTCTACGTCACGTTCTGTTTTATGGAACATTCCTTGGTGCCATGATGTTTTCATAAACACAGGTAGCAACTAAAGAAAAACATATGATGAACCATGGGAAATACTGACTGCTAATTGGTACAAATGAAGTACACCAGCTCTCCAGTGTTAGCGCAAAAATACAAAGGTGAATGTTGAAGAAGAATTCTATAGTTTTGTTTTGCTAAACTACGGCTAAACAAGTATTTATTTTATCTTTATACTCTATGTAGCTGTCTTTGTGATGAAAGATTAGGCTTCTATTATTTACCTCTTCAATGGATGACATGGTTGGAGTAAATCCTGATAGCATTTTTACATCTATAACCACCATACTGGATTTATTGCGAATTCCAGTGTATCTGAAAATTTTAAGAAAACACTCGTTTAGATATCAATTTTAAAAAGTGACTTATCTCATAATGAGAGTGCCAGGTGGATAAATACTAATTGGCTAGAAATCTGGAGGACAGGTAAAAGCTGAAGAGAAAATATCGGAAGAAAGTCATTTTCAAGCATCTGTGAATAGGCACAACCAGAATGATAATGAAAGAGATGATACATAGCAACAGAAATTGGAGCAAATAATGAATTATCTGGACATGAAATCTTCCCCAAACCCTGCTTTTAAGCTTACCTGCAGTCTCAAAGTTTGAACTGATAAACAGAGCTTCTAAATCTTTTACATATACTTAGGTTAGTGTTAGAGTTGCGTAACACTTAGAGGACATCTTTGCTTAAAAGGTGGTATATGAGCATAATTATAGAGTAGATGTGTCCCCAGGAGAACTTCTAGCTCAGTTTCCTGCTTCTGGATAAGACTATTGGGGTATGAAGTTAAGAGTTCCATAGTTCATCAGGGCGTGGTTGCTCACACCTGTAATCCCAGCACTTCTGGAGGCCAAGGTGGGTGGATCACTTGAGGGTCAGAGTTCAAGACCAGCCTGGCCAATATGGCAAAACTCTGACTCTACTAAAAATAGAAAAATTAGCCAGATGTGGTGGTGCACGCCTCTAATCCCAGCTACTCAGGAGGCTGAGCCGTAAGAATCCTTTGAACCCAGGAGCTGGAAGTTGCAGTGAGCTGAGATTGTGCCACTGTGCCACTGTACTGCAGCCTGGGTGACAAAGTAAGACTCTGTCTCAAAAAAAAAAAAAAAAAAAAAAAACCAAAAAAGAAAAAGAGTTCCCCAATTCATTGAGTTCTTAGCCCTGGAGCTCAAGCGATTTTTATTTAGAAATTCTAAAAAATATCTCCCAAACTAATTTTACTCAATGTTTTCCACATATTAACTAAGGCTAAAAGCCTTTAGCATCTATAAATCATGCTTGAATTCAAGAGGATCATTTCGTTTTTCTATTCTGAAAAGTAAAAATCTAAAATGTTACTCTTTACAGTTACAAAATAAACATTTGTGGGCTTGCTACTATATGACCATGCATGCTTGTCTTGAGAAAGAAATATAGAATCTCTGTTTTTCAAAACTAGGAGTACTTCCATACAACAGAATAAAAAGTATCATTGAAACATCAGTGCAGTGAAAGCTTTCAAATCCTGCTCACATAGACTGCATGTTTTCTTGCCTCATTTTAGCTCTGATTTAGCTGAAGATGTACTAAATTGTGGTGTCCGGACAGACGGCTAAAAAGTGACTGTGCTGTAGAATTGTCACCACCAACATGAGAACTCATTACCATGATTTATATTTTGTTATTTCACTACTGTTTGAACTTTTAAAATATTTTACCATCTTGTTCACGTGGGAGTTACTGTCAAAATATGACACTTACTTGAGGTTCACTGTGAGGTCAAAAACAGTCAAAGAGTAGTTCTTTACTATTTCCAAGGAAAGAGAAAATCCAGATGCCTTCTTAGGTAGGAGAACATTGTACTTAAGGGTGGCCTAGAAAGGATAGCAAATTATAAGAAAACCCATCCTGTATTAAGAATTATACAGTCTGACTATAGTCAGTAGTAATGTGATTTTACATTTTAAAATAACTAAGAGTATACTTCGATCATTTGTAACACAATGGATAAATGCTTGAGGTGATGCATACCCCACTTGCCCTGATGTGATTCTTACACATTGCATGCCTGTATCATGCACCCGGTAAATATTTACACCTACTATGTACCCACAAAAATTAAAAATAAAACATTTTTAAAAAGAAAGAACCTATTGTTTATTTCTATTACTAATGCAGTTTACATCTTTATCATCAGGGAATCAGGTTAAATTCTTTAGTTTTCAGAATAACGTAATTTAATGAAGATAGAATACTTTCTAATAGCAATATTCCTCAAACTTCTCTTAGACAGCTGAGTAGCTTTTCATAAAGTAACTTGCAATTTTGGCTATTGATCATGTAAATACACAAAACGGTCAAATAACACTTCACGTAGAACTGAACAGACAGTCTGACTCTTTTACTGGCAAACACTCATCACCCTCTTAGGCAGATTTCTGTAACCTGGATAAATGTACAACCGCGTCCTTCCACATCTACTGTGTATTGTCCAGGTGCCTGTGTTACTTCTGAACGTTGGACCAGTAGGCGGTTATGACCGTTAAACTGGATCTCACTGGATCCTTCACTGCTAAAGGTGACAGTGTTTTGATTCTTAGAGAAGAGCCCCTCTTCCCCGCCTGGCTCTTAGGATCCCCATTGCAGGGCGGGGAGGCACCCACCGCGAGGGGGAGACTGAGAGCCAGTCCCTCCCACCCCCGGCTCTTAGGACTCGCATCGCAAGCGGGGGAGGCACGCCACGCGAGGCGGGGACTGAGAGCCAGCCCCCCTTCCCCCCGGGCTTAGGACCCCCATCGCGGTTCCTAAGATCCTTAGGACCCACCTGGAGGACTGTGGGTATGGGGTGTCCAAGAAGAAAGCTCAGATCTGCCCACGGCAGGTACCTTACTTGGGATTTACAATCGACAGGGGTCCGAACGCAGCCCGGGAAAAGAAAGAAAGCAGGTCATTTACAATCTACCGGAGCCAGCCCGTCTTCCCCTCGCTTGCTCTTAGGTC
The DNA here is from genome assembly GCF_000001405.40 of Homo sapiens. NCBI lineage: Eukaryota > Metazoa > Chordata > Mammalia > Primates > Hominidae > Homo > Homo sapiens. The sequence goes on from NC_000012.12 coordinate 31,117,596, forward strand.
CCCCATCGCAGTGGGGGGAGGCACCCCTCGTGAGGCGGGAACTGAGAGCCAGCCCCACCTCCCCCCTGGCTCCTGGGACCCCCATCGCAGTGGAGGGAGGCACTCCCCGCGAGGCGAGGACTGAGAACCAGCCCCTCTTCCCTCCCTGGTTCTTAGGACCCCCATCGCAGGGACGGAGGCACCCGCAGCGAGGCGGGGACTGAGAGCCTGCCCCTCTTACCCCCCTGGCTCTTAGGACCCCCATCGCAGGAGTCGGAGGCACCCCCCGCGAGGCGGGGACTGAGAGAGAGCTCCTCTTCCCCCCCAGGATCTTAGGACCCCCATCGCGGGGGGGGAGGCACTCCCGCCAGGCGAGGACTGAGAGCCAGCCCCTTTTCATCCCCTGGCTCTTAGGACCCCCATCGCAGGGGGGGAGGCACACACCGCAAGGCGGGAACTGAGAGCCAGCCCCACTTCCCCCCTGGCTCTTGTGACCCCCATCGCTGTGCGGGGAGGCAACCCCCGCGAAGCGGGGACTGAGAGCCTGCCTCTCTTCCCCCCCAGGCTCTTCGGACCCCCATCGCAGGCGGGGGAGGCACCCCCTGCGAGGCGGGGACTGAGAGCCAGCCGCTCACTCCCCCTGACTCTTAGGACCCCCATTGCAGGGGGGGGACGCACACCCGGAGAGGCGGGGACTGAGAGCCAGCCCCTCTTCCCCCCCAGGCTCTTGAGACCCCCATCGCAGGGGGGGGGCAACCCCCACGAGGCGGGGACTGAGAGCCAGCCCCTCTACCCCCCCATGGCTCTTAGGACCCCCAATGCAGGCGCGTGGCACCCCCCGCGAGGCGGGGACTGAGAGCCAGAACCTCTTCCCCCCCTGTGTCTTAGAACTTCCATCGCAGCGGGGGAGGCACTCCTCACGAGGCGGTGACTGAGAGCCAGACCCTCCCACCCCCGGCTCTTAGGACCCACATCGTAGTGGCGGGAGGCACCACCCGAGAGACGGGGACTGAGAGCCAGCCCCTCTTCCCCCCCTGGCCCTTGGGACCCCGATCGCAAGGGGGGGAGGCACCCCCCGAGAGGCGGGGATCGAGAGCCTGCCCCTATTCCCCCCCCTTGGCTCTTAGGACACCCATCTCATGGGTGGGAGGCACTTCCAGCGAGGCGGGCACTGAGAGCCCGCCCCTCTTCCCCCCCTGGCTCTTAGGATCCCCATCGCAAGGGGGGAAGACACCGCCCACGAGTCGGGGACTGAGAGCCAGCCCCTCTTCCCCCGCTGGCTTAGGACCCCCACCGCGGATTCTAAGATCCTTAGCACCCACCTGGAGGACTGGGGGTTTTAGGTGTCCAAGAAGAAAGCTCAGACCTGCCGACCGCAGGTACCTTACCTGGGATTTACTATCCGACAGGGGTCCGAACGCAGCTCGGGATCAGAAAAAAAGCAGGTCATTTGCAATCTACCAGAGCCAGCCCCTCTTCCCCCCCTTGCTCTTAGGACCTCCATCGCAGCGGGGCAGGCACACACCGCGAGGCGGGAACTGAGAGCCAGCCCCTCCCACCTCTGGCTCTTAGGACTCACATTGCAAGTGGGGGAGGCATCCTCCGCGAGGCGCGGACTGAGAGCCAGCCCCTCTTCCCCCCCTGGCTCTAGGGACCCCCATCGCAGGGGGTGGAGGCACCCCACGCGATTCGGGGACTGAGAGCCAGCCCCTCTCCTTCCCCCTGCTCTTCGGACCCCCATCGCAGGGCGGGGAGGCACCCACCGCGAGGCGGGGACTGAGAGCCAGCCCCTCTACCCCCCGTGGCTCTTAGGAGCCCCATCGCAGGGTGGGAGGCCACCCGGCGAGGCGAGGATTGAGAGCCAGCCCGTCTTCCCCCCTTGGCTCTTAGGAGCCCCATCGCGGGTGGGGAAGGCACCCCCCGCGAGGCAGGGACTGAGAGCCAGCCTCTCTTCCTCCCGTGGCTCTTAGGACCCCCATCGCAGTGGGGGGAGGCACCCCCCGCGAGGCGGGGACTGAGAGCAAGCCCATTTCCCCCCCCCCCGGCTCTTAGGACACCCAACGCAGAGGGGGGAGGCACCCCCTGCGAGGCAGGAACTGAGAGCCAGACCCACTTCTCCCCGGCTCTTGGGATCCCCATCGCGGGGAGGGGAGGCACCCCACACGAGGCGGGGACTGAGAGCCAGCCCCTCTTCCCCCCCTGGCTATTAGGACCCCCATCGCAGGGGGGAGAGGCACCCCCCGAGAGGCAGGGACGGAGAGCCTGCACCTCTTCCCCCACGGGCTCTTAGGACCCCCATCGCAGGCGCTTCGCACCCCACGCGAGGCGGGTACTGAGAGCCAGCTCCTCTTTCCCCCGTCTCTTAGGACTGCCATCGCAGAGGGGGAGGTAACCCCCGCCAGGCAGGGACTGACAGCCAGCCCCTCTTCACCTCTGGCTCTTAGGCCCCCATCGCAGAGTGGGGAGGCACCACATGCGAGGCGGGGACTGCGAGCCAGCCCCACTTCCCCCCTGGCTCTTGGGACCACCATCGCAGTGGGGGGAGGTACACCCCGCGAGGCGGGGACGGAGAGTCAGCCCCTCTTCCCCCACTGGCTCTTGGGAACCCCATCGCAAGGGGGAGAGGCACCCTCCGCGACGCGGGGACTGAGAGACAGCCCCTCTTCCCCCCCTGGCTCTAGGGACCCCCATCGCAGGGGGTGGAGGCACCCCACGCGATGCGGGGACTGAGAGCCAGCCCCTCTCCGCCCCCCCCGACCCCGCCCGGGTCTTCGGACCCCCATCGCAGTGGGGGGAGGCACCCCATGCGAGGCGGGGTCTGACAGCCAAACCCTCTTCCCCCTCTGGCTCTTATGACCCCCATAGCAAGGGGGGAGGCACCCCCCGCGAGGCGGGGACTAGAGCCAGCCCCTCTTCCCACCCTGGCTTAGGACCCCCATCGCGGATCCTAAGATCCTTAGGACCCAACTGGAGGACTGTGGGTATTAGGTGCCCAAGAAGAAAGCTCAGATCTGCCGACGTTACTTGGGATTTACTATCCGACAGGTGTCCGAACACAGCTCGAGATCAGAAAGAAAGCAGGTCATTTGCAATCTACCGGAGCCAGCCCCTCTTCCCCCGCTTGCTCTTAGGACCCCCATCGCAGCAGGGCAGACACACACCCCAAGGCGGGAACTGAGAGCCAGCCCCACTTCCCCCCTGGCTCTTGGGACCCCCATCGCTGTGTGGGGAGGCTCCCCCCGCGAAGCGGGGACTGAGAGCCTGCCCCTCTTCCCCCCCCAGGCTCTTCGGACCCCCATCGCAGTGGGTTGGAGGCACCCCCTGAGAGGCGGGGACTGAGAGCCAGCGGCTCTTTCCCCCTGGCTCTTAGGACCCCCATTGCAGGGGGGGGGACGCACCCCCCGCGAGGCGGGGAGTGAGAGCCAGCCCCTCTTCCCCCCCAGGCTCTTCGGACCCCCATCGCAGGGGGGGAGGCACCCCCCGCGAGGCGGGGACTGAGAGCCAGCCCCTCTTCCCCCCCTGGCTAAGACCCCCATCGCGAATCCTAAGATCCTTAGGACCCACCTGGAGGACCCTGGGTATTAGGTGTCCAAGAAGAAAGCTCAGATCTGCCGACCGCAGGTACCTTACTTGGGATTTACTATACCACAGGGGTCCGAACGCAGCCCGGGATCAGGAAGAAAGCAGGTCGTTTGCAATCTACCGGAGCCTAAGGGCAGAAGGCAGGTGAGAGAATTCTTAGGAGCTGTGGGGTTTTGTAGACTGTGGATCCCAAACTTTGCAGTATTAGCCAAGCCTTTGTATGAGGTCACAAAGGGGGCGGGGACCGGGAAGCTTTGGAATGGGGATCCCAACAACAGGAAGGCTTTCAGGAGTTAAAGGAAAAACTTCTGGCAGCCCCAGCCCTGGGGCTACCGGATCTGACAAAGCCTTTTCCATTGTATGCGTCAGAGAGGGAAAAGATGGCAGCTGGACTTTTATCCCAAACTGTGGGGACCTGGCTGAGGCCGGTGGCCTAAGTCTCTAAACAAGTAGACAGGGTTTCTACAGGATGGCCCCCCTGTTTGAGGGCCTTGGCAGCAACTACTCTGCTAGTACTAGAAGCAAATAAGCTGACTCTTGGGCAAAACCTGAACATAAAGGCCCCCCCAAACTGTGGTGACTGAGAGCCAGCCCCTCTTCCCCCCCTGGCTCTTAGGATCCGCAGTGGACTCACAGCCTGTTTACCATATTGTGAGTAATATCATCTCCCCCTCTGGAGACCTCTGGAGATTATGAACTGTTTCACAGACAGGTGTACACCCTTGGTGTACAGAGGGTGTACACCCGTCTGTATTGGGAGTAATATCATCCTCTTCCTCCCTGAATATTAAGAACAGTATCACAGGGGTGTTTCTACTCCCTGCGATATCGCGTGTCATATCCTCCTCTCCCACGTTGCAATTAGAAACAATATCAGTGGTGGCATGTCCACCTTCTGTCATATTGAAAGTAATATCATTTTCTTCCCTCCAGGATCGTGGGAACAATATCCCAGGGGGGTTTCCACTTTCTGCCATATATGTAGTCACATCGCCCACTCCGCCTTGGAATATTATTAAGGACCATCTAACACGAGGGTGTATACGTCCTGCGATATTACGAGTAATATCAACTTCTTGGCCTCTGAATATGAGGAAGAATATCACAGGGTGGGTGTATACCTCGTGCTCTATTATGCGGAGTCGTATCTGTCTATTACGGGGAGTAATATCATTCTCTCCCTTTCAGGATATTAATAACAATTTCACAGGCTGGGTGAACACAGCCGGCGATGCTGAAATTATTATCATCCTCTCCCCCTCTTCCCCTCCTGGCCCTTAGGACCCCCATCGCAGGGGGCTGAGGCACCCCCCGCGAGGCGGGGACTGAGAGCCAGTCCCTCTTACCCCCCTGGCTCTTAGGACACCCATCGCAGGGGGGGGAGGCACCCCCCGCGAGGGGGGGACTGAGAGCCAGCCCCTCTTCCCCCCCGGCCCTTGGGACCCCCATAGCGGGGGGGGGAGGCACACCCCTCGAGGCGGGGACTGAGAGTCAGCCCCTCTACCCCCCCGGCTCTTGGGAACCCCATCGAAGTGTGGGGAGGCACCGCCCGCGAGGCGGGGACTGAGAGCCAGCCACTCTTCCCCACCGGCTCTTGGGATCCCCACCGCAGGGGGGGTAGGCACCCCCCGCGAGGCAGGGACTGAGAGACAGCCCCTCTTCCCCCCCTGGCTCTTAGGACCCCCATCGCAGTGGGGGAGGCACCCCCCGTGAGGTGGGGATTGAGAGCCAGCCCCTCTTCCCCCCTGGCTCTTGGAACCCCCATCGCAGAGGGGGGAGGCACCCCCCGCGAGGCGGGGACTGAGAGCCAGCCCCTCTTCCCCCCCTGGCTATTACCCCCATCGTGGATCCTAAGACCCTTAGGACCCAAGTGGAGGACTGTGGGTATTAGGTGTCCAAGAAGAAAGCTCAGATCTACCGATGGCAGGTACCTTACTTGGGATTTACTGTCCGACAGGGGTCCGAATGCAGCCCGGGATCACAAAGAAAGCAGGTCGTTTGCAATCTACCAGAGCCTAAGGGCAGAAGGCAGGTGAGAGAATTCTTAGGAGCTGTGGGGTTATGAAGACAGTGGATCCCAAACTTTCCAGTTATTAGCCAAGCCTTTGTATGAGGTCACAAAGGGGGCGGGGACCGGGAAGCTTTGGAATGGGGATCCCAACAACAGCAAGGTTTTCATGAGTTAAAGGAAAAACTTCTGGCAGCCCCAGCCCTGGGGCTACCCGATCTGACAAAACCTTTTCCATTGTATGTGTCAGAGAGAGAAAAGATGGCAGCTGGACTTTTAACCCAAACTGTGGGGCCCTGGCTGAGGCCGGAGGCCTACGTCTCTAAACAACTAGACAGGGTTTTTAAAGGATGGCCCCCCTGTTTGAGGGCCTTGGCAGCATCTACCCTGCTAGTACTAGAAGCAAATAAGCTGACTCTTGGGCAAAACCTGAACATAAAGGCCACCCATGCTGTGGTGACTGAGAGCCAGCCCCTCTTCCCCCCCTGGCTCTTAGGATCCGCGGTGGACTCACAGCCTGTTTACCATATTGTGAGTAATATCATCTCCCCCTCTGGAGATTATGAACTGTTTCACAGACGGGTGTACAACCTTGGTGTACAGAGGGTGTACACCCGTCTGTATTGGGAGTAATATCATCCTCTTCCTCCCTGAATATTAAGAACAGTATCACAGGGGTGTTTCTACTCCCTGCGATATCGCGTGTCGCATCCTCCTCTCCCACGTTGCAATGAGAAACAATATCAGTGGGGCCGTGTCCACCTTCTGTCATATTGAAAGTGATATCATTTTCTTCCCTCCAGGATCGTGGGAACAATATCCCATGGGGGTGTACCCTTTCTGCCATATATGTAGTCACATCACCCACTCCGCCTTGGAATATTATTAAGGACCATCTAACACGAGGGTGTATACGTCCTGTGATATTGGGAGTAATATCAACTTCTCGGCCTCTGAATATGAGGAAGAATATCACAGGGTGGGTGTATACCTCGTGCTCTATTATGCGGAGTCGTATCTGTCTATTATGGGGAGTAATATCATTCTCTCCCTTTCAGGATATTAATAACAATTTCACAGGCTGGGTGAACACAGCCGGCGATGCTGAAATTATTATCATCCTCTCCCCCTCTTCCCCTCCTGGCTCTCAGTCCCCGCCTCACGGGTTATGTAGCGGGTTATGGCAAGAAGACAAACTGCAGTTTCCTGCACAGAACAGCACAAACAATGATCCAAGCTCAGTTACAACACAATATTGGTCATCATTTGACCATGGACTTCAATATCAACCCTTAGAAACCTTCCTAAAACAGGTCAGCAAAACACCAAGAAGCAATATCCTGAATGATAGGAAAATATCCTTGCTTGTGCAAATTGTTTCCACTTAATTTTTTTCAACAAATGTTAATTATATTTTTACTTTCTAAAAATTTTTAATAAAATATAGCCTACTTGGTTAAAAATGGTGTCAAAGCTTTTCTAAAAGTTAAGGCATTACATAATTCAGTGGCCCCTGTGGCTGCCATGGATAATTCTTTTTTTTCTGTTCATCTTCAAAGAAGGGAATTCAGAATCAGGAAAAGATCTTTGGAAATTCATTAGCATATGGTTTTACTCCGAAACTAAGACCAAACACAAAGAGAAATGCAGATTTTTCTCATGGAAATAAAACTGCTTTTTTGCATTTTCAATTTGTTTCCAAGTAAGGAAAAACATGTCATTGTTTCTCATACCCCCCATTTCTCCTGTTTTCCTTCTTTTCATTTGCTTTTCCCAGTGTATAGCCCACAGAACTAGAGCGAAAGCTTTCTTTTTGGCCCGTATATAATTTGAACAGAGTATCATCAGGTGTCTAATGTACCACCAAGAGTGGTGCTTACGACAAAAATGTCCTCTAGACTTATTCTATGTTCGCTGTGTGAATGAAGATACTAATGGTCATAAATTCCTGGAACGGGAGACCTCATTTCATTCATTTCTATTTAGAGGCTTCCTAGTAGAGTGCCTCATACACAATAACTGGCCAATAAATAATTGTTGAGGAAATAAAATAAGATTAATAAGATAATAAGAATCTTATTACCAAAGATTCTTCTTCTCAGAAAGGGTTTGTTGTGATAGCTTTACTATTAATATCTCACTCGTCATAGAGTTACAGCTTCTGCATTAAACATATTGCTATTAATATCAGGCCTACATTAATCACCTGGTTGGAAGAAAAGCCTCCATGGGAATTCATCTGTTGGGCAAGCCACTGCACAATCTTACTAGCATAGGTGAGGTCAGGAATTTTCCGGGAAATGACAGCCAACAGCACATAGCAACTCTTCTCAGTCTGAGCAGAAGGTGCCCAGGGAATAAAGGATGGAAATTCTTCTGTCTTGGGTTTCCTTTCTCTTTCCCAGTAGATGACATTATCTGAGAAAAAGGAAGAATTTTCACATAGTCTGCATAAAAGTCATGGGTTACACATAAAGAAGGATGAAAATTCCATTCCCGACCTCTGTTTGTGCTGAATTGTTCCCCTAAAATTATATGTTGAAGCCCTAACACCAAGTACCTCAAAATGTGGCTGTATTTGGAGATAAGACTTTTTAAAGAGGTGATTAAGTTAAAATGAAGCTTATGGGCCACAATCCAATCTGACTGGTGACCTTATGAGAAGAAAAATTTTGGACACACAAAAGGGAGAGCAGGGCTGTGCACACACAAAAGATCTTGTGAAGACAAAGGAAGAATGTGGTCATCTGCAGGTGAAGAAACCACTTTCAACACCTTGAACTTAGACTTCTAGCCTCCAGAAGCATGAGAAAATAAACTTCTATTGCTGCAGTCATCCAGTATGTGGTATTTTATGACAGCTATAGCAAACTACTACAGCCTTCAATAGCAACTTTCTAAGTAGCAGGTGATTAAGCTTCCCCAGCAGTTTTGATAGCCTATGGCTTGGTCACCAGGCTTGATTCCCCTGACATCACTCATTTGAGAGGAAGCTAGCATAAAGCAAAAGAGGAAAGTCTAGAATATGTAGCGTTCTTGAAAGGTATAAAGGCCACTGATAAATTCCATAAGAGAAACAGAAACATACTGGTCAAGAGGGAGCTCCTATGTGACTGCTTAGAACGCTTCCTCACTGTGCTCCAAGATCACCTCCATTAGCAACAATGAATAATAACGCTTACTTAGTTTTGTGGCAGATTGATCCAGGGTTTGGAGTAAAGATTCCACTTGCTTCTCTTTTCCAGCTAAGGCAAAAGCATAAGCTAGAATTGCATGATTGTAGCCATTAGTGACACCACTGTCCAATGCCGCTTCAAGGCAAAAGAGTGCGTTTCGTAGAGCAGGAAACTGTTGGTCAGGAAGAAGAATCATATATTGTAAACTGATACCCGAACATTCCATGAACTTGTTGAACATTTAAACTAATCATTGTTTATAATATATATAATATATCCTCAAAGTATATTTTACATACAAATCCATTTATATACACACATATATTTTATCCTTCAAAAATATCATTAAAATAAATTTATAATGTCATTATTAGTACCTAAGCAATAATTTTTTTTGAGATAGGGTCTCGCTCTGTTACCCAGGCTGGAGTGCAGTGGCATGATCTCAGCTCACTGCAACCTCCACCTCCCAGGTTCAAGCGATTCTCCTGCCTCCATCTTCCGAGTAGCTGGGATCACAGGCATGCACCACCAAGCCCAGCTAATTTTTGTATTTTTAGTAGAGATAGGGTTTCACCATGTTGGCCAGGCTGGTCTTGAACTCCTGACCTCAGGTAATCCACCCACCTCAGCCTCCCAAAGTGCTTGGATTATAAGCATGAACCACCATGCCCGGCCCAATGAAATTTAGTAAGAAAATGGCAGTTTTTATATTTGATCAGTGATATTTTAGTTATGAATGTCTTCTATGCGGCAAAGCATCCAAATTTATCATAGGCCTAAGAGTTTTTTTTTTCTAATGCCTAAAATAGAGGCTTACATTTCTGAAGATAATTTTCAGGGTATACTAATGACCCTGACAATTCCTAGCATCTTAGTTCAGGAATAGATTTTGGAAATCTAATCTATGGATTGGGAGGTGGCTAGGGTGAGCCACACTTAAGTTGAAAATGTTTACTCACTTATTGTTTAGAGAGAAACAGAATACTAGGCCACGGCTTTACTTAGAACAGTGGTTCTTAATCTGAAATTCATGGCTGAACTTCAGGAGAGATGTGAATGCCTGCAATTGTGTGAATAACTCTTTTTTGTGTGCATATGTGTATTCTCCCTAGGGAGAAACCCAATCCTGTTTTTCAAAGCTGTCTATGAATGAAAAACAGTTTGAACAGCATGAATTTAAAGGGTGGTAATAAACTAAATGTTATCTCGGGGTTTCATCCAGTCTTAGAATCTCAAGTGACTCTGACTCTACAGTCTATTGAATGTGCATTCAGCTGCCTGAAATCAGAAATGACGGGAATCCATACAGTGGAATTGAGCCCAGCTTCAAAGAACATCCCAACAACATATGCAGTGAGTGAAATGTCCTCTTCATCTCCACCCTGAAAACAAAGGAACAATGAGTCATTCGGGACAGCAGAGCACAAAATAGCAAGTATTCTTTTGAAGTAAAACTAGGTATGAAAAAAATACTGGAACAAATACCATTATTCATAAAAACACCCGAACATGTGTAGTTTTTAAATTAGATGGTTAATAACCATACTATCTAAGCAAGAATTCATTCAGACTCTATGCAATAATTAAATCATAATTATTAAGTTGTTATAACAATTAATTTCAATCATATTTATGTGGCCTGGTGTTAAGCATGCATTCTAAGGAATTCACAGGACTCTATTTGTCTCCGCTTGGTATAAATCTGAAAAAAGCCAACAAAGAATTTCTAATGAGGTGAAGCAGAAAGTTGCCGTGAAGATTCCTGGAAATTCCTGGAAAAGCACCCTAGGAGATCACCAGAATCAAGTCTCAGATTCTTAGAGTGTAAAATGAGAAACTCATTTATAAATCATGTGGTTTGCAAACTGACTGTGCATAAAACTCCCCTGGGGTATTTAAATCAACCAGTGTCTACACAGAGATTCTGGTTCAAAAAACTTGGGAATACGACAGCAAAATGCATTTTAATGGGTGCTCTAGTGACTCTGATGCAAATAGCATTCAGAATGGCATCTGGGATCTACTGATCTTGTAGAAGCTTCCCATTTTATCTATTTAAGCAAAGGACAACTCCTGTCTTCTTCAGAAAAGAAATACTTCTGAGAAACCAAGTGTTTAAGATGGAAATAACAGCATATGGTAGACACTAACATGAGGTACGAGGACTGTCAGTACATCTAAATTACAGCAAGTGGGATCACCATTCCTCAGCAGTGTAAGCTTTGATTTTTCCCTTGCATTTTTATTTCTCTCAACTCAAAACACACACAGACACCCACCCACACAGATATTTAATTATAGAGAAAATACTAGGTAAGATCAGACAAACTGTAGCAGTAATCAGCAATGATTCACCAGTAATGAATCCAATAAGAAGAAAGATGTGAAGATGTTTTAGAAGAGAACGTGGGAAAGTTTTTGATTTTTCTATGAAGGAGTAAGAGCTCTTCTCCATCAGGGTCCTCCTGTTGTAAGGAATAAGTTTGGAATACATTAAAAATACCACAAAGCAATTTGAATACAATTTGCATGCAAATTAAATATCAGAGTGTCTGTTTTCATTCATATTTTGAGGTGGATTAGATATGCATTCTGGGTTTCAAGAACAGGAGTGCTGATTATGAGGAAGGATGCTGAAGAAAAGCTCAGGGTATTTCAGGGGCCATCAGAGCATGCTAAAATGCCATGATAGGAGATTTTGAGCAACCACAGGGGAAAAAAGGAGGGGAAAGGAGATAGAAGATGGGCTGGAGATGGACAGGTATCTGCAAAGAAAGGAAGTTGGAAGGGAGGGATTTACGTAAATATGGACAGGAAAAGGGTTGGATTTTGCCAAGGATATACTTCACCTCATTTGTACTTTGGCCCCGGGGCAAGCTTGGCCTTTGAATTTTTCCTTGAGAGGGTCTTAGAAAAACTTGCTTCATTGAAACAATATGAATTACTAGATATTCTCCCCAGAACTTTCTTGCCATTCATGGACAGGAATAAACTTTCCTTCCTCATACACTCACAGCCCCCTCCCTTTATACATTGACTGTCTCCAAATTTATGAAAGTTTCTTTTCTAGGTTCCCTTTCTCTCCCCTCCCTTCTATTTCTAGTTTAATTTCTGAAGAGGACTGACTCGGGAAGGACTAGAGACTGAATAAGGCAGACAAGAGACTCAGAAGGAGTCACATCCAGGCTGTAGTTAAACATGCACAAAGCAGGAATGGTGCTGCTGACCAACCCACCACAGGCCCAGGACTGCAGTGCCTCAGAAGGTTTCATAGGCACAGGAAGAATATTCATATTCCAGATCAGGAAAGCCAGAGGCAGGGCAAGGCAGGCAATGCCCAGGAACAAGGAAAGCCTGGTGCTTCTCCTCTCTCACCTCCCAGGCGTGGTTGAAAAGCTGGCCATCATTCTTAAAGCAGCCGCTTGTTTTCTGTTGGCTTGAAAGCCAGATTAAGGTCTGTTTTTGAACATTTTCATCAATGAATACAAATTTTTTCATTCTCTCCAATGTCTTAAAAGTAAGAGCACTGAGCCTGTAATACAAATCACCAAAGCAAAAGTTAGATAAAGAGGAAGTGACAATGTCAGCAATTCCACAGTTTCATCACCATTGTTCCCTTTGAGTAAAGGATGCATTCAACTCATCTACTGTAAACCATCTTTATTGTTAGTGGCCCTTTCCTTTGGGTCAGGAAAATATTATGACTAGCAATAAGTGGAAATTAGAGTAGGTAATTTTCAGCATGTTTGCACCCAAAGGTCCTGTTGTATATAGCCCATTAGATTATCTGCACATGGAGAGAGAAATGATGTAATTAGGTATTTTGGGTCCTTCTAATTTCACTTTCCCGAATCTATATGGGACTCTGAGAAGCACAGAGTAAGACGTGCCGTGCCCTCTTCGGTGGAGTTAACCAGCGGTGCATGTCTAGGGGCTGTCATGAAAGGATCAGACTGCTAAGCAAATCGTCATGAGACTGAAGGAACATTGTTGCATTAGAATTGGAATCACTAAATCTTTAGTTTTATCTATTTCTCTTCTGTAAATTGACTTTGAAACCCACTTTGCTTCTAAATCCCCACTGAACTCTATCCTCCTTCACCTCCTTGCAAGCCCTCCTCAGGTAATTCCTATATTATATAAAATAAAATTTTTATGTCTCACCATATGCTTCCTTTCTGATTCTGCTGCCAAAACACACTATAGGAACCATCAGAGTTTTTGAAAGATAATTGCCTTTGATAACCTAAAATAGAACATTGTAGGAAATTATTTTTTAACCTAAGAAAGTTAGAAGAGAAAGAATAGTGCAGTGCAAGCCCTAGGTATTGGTGTTAGACACAAATCACTAGGATGATCATTTCCATTTGAACTTCTGAAACTCAGGTTCTGTATTCATAAGGGAGAAAAAATAACTCTTACTTTATAGGATTTTGATCACAAGATAATACACATGGATATGTCTGGCTCAGTAATTGCCTCGTCATTGGTACCTACTAACTATTCAGTATATTTCCCCTAAGGTCATTTTATTTCAGTGTTATCTTTCTGAGAAGAAAAACCAAAGAAGATTATTTTATGCTCCTGGACTTTTCCTTAACCTCACAGTTCACAACATTGGCCCTCTTTGTGTATACAAAGCCAATCACTTCACTGCAACAGACCACAGCTGAGCAAACAAATACAGACGTTGATAGATGAACCACTGACAACAACTCCTAACAAAAACAACAATAATAACAACAATAAACAAGGTAGCTTGCAAAATACCAGACATTAAAAAAAAATTAAGTGCATAGCTTGAAAACTTTGCAGCTGTAAATTATGACGCTAGCTGACCACACAGATTTTGAAGTCAGACGGAAAACAGCGCTAGGACTGAGAGTTCCTCGGTTCAGGTTCACTTTTCTTTCACCAGACTACTGCATAAAAACAGCTTATGACATCTTGGTATGAGTAACAATTGCTTTCAAAAATTATGGGCAGAAATTACTTAAATCTTCTCACCATTAGATAAGAGAAAGAAAGCCTTAGATTGAACTTCCTCTGTCAGTTGCTCAGTAGATTTCAGATAGTCCAGAACATAAGTATCAGATGCTAGTAGGGCAGCATTCTGCTCTCCACCTCCATAGGGCATTTGGAGAACAACCAGATTCTGCATGGCAAGTCCTAGAATATCCCCTAAAAACAGGAAAAGCGGAAAGCTGTATTGTTTATAGTTGCCATCTCAGCATTAATAACTATAGACAAAAGAGGCATAGTGAAATAGGTAACATTTAAAATTGAGTCTAAATGGTGGAAACAAAGAAAGTTTTATGAAGCAATTTGAAAGAGGAGACAGCCATGAAGGGTGAAGTTAAACTGCTATGAAAAATATTTCTGAAAATCTCATTACCAGAGAGAGGAGGAAGTTAGGAGAATGCATTTGTTTGCTTGTTTGCTAGTTTTTTTTAATCAATCAATCCTATGAATTACAAAGTGTAATCCATCCCTTCCAAGAGATGTTCATGTTAATAACAGACAAAGAAGTTTGCCTTTTGTATCAACAACAAAAATTTCTCCTTTTATTGAGAAAACTCCCAACATCATTAACAGGCAAAGTCAATTCGATTCTCCAAGAGGTGAATTTCATATTTCAGATTAATGATTATAAAGAACCTCTTGCTTTCTGAACACTAGTTACCATCTACCCAAGCTAAGGTTTCCTGGGAATATAGGTCTGGAAACGGTACTGTAATCCCTTTAGATCCCATCAGGAAACATAGAGGATGATCTGATCAATAATTCCCTCCAATTGATAGCTTAGGAAAATCTCTCTATTCTATTATTTTAAGGATTTTTAAAGACCACCTCAACCAAGATTTTCAAATCATAGTGAAACACAAAATTTGATCAACTTACCCACAACAGTGAAAAAGCCTCTGGCTGACCCTTCTACTACATCATTTGGCAAGTCCAAAACTCCCTGCTTGGAGGCTTTGGCACCTAGAATGAAAATACTGATTTAAAAAATGTGATGGCTTCTTTATATCAGCAGATTTGGGGGATAAACATATTGGAAATAAGATTCCATTACTTATTTTTATTTTACAAGTTGTTTATTAGAGGAGATGAATTTGGAGTTTTGACCCAGTTTAGGATAATAGTACATTCAGAAAATGGCATATAAATCTGTGTGTTAGATTGTGGCCCCCGTTCTTCACTGGTTTAGTGCCTGAACTATTTATGTATGAAAAAATGTAAAAACTACACTGACTGTAACACATAAAACAACACACACAAAAGGTAAAGCTTGAAGACTCAGATGAAGGAGTATAATCAGATCACCATCAACCAGGTAAAATAATACCCCTCATGGCCATAAAACCGGAGACTGAGGTGCAGGGGCAGTGATGTATCTATGGGTTATTTTCTCCTAAGAGTACAAAAGCCAAGATTATATTATGTGCTATTGGGCCTCAATCCTAATATCTCATTGTCCAATATTGTGTGACAACCATATCATAAGAGGAGCTAAGAGTACACATGATGGAAAAAAAAATAGATAGGAGCAGACCAGCCTCAGAAAGTGAACTAAAAACCACCTCCTGAATATTCTTTTTGATGGCTAAAATTATACCATAAAGATAAAGCATGAAACACAAGAATCCTCCACGAGTTATTTAAAGTGAAATCACAGGGCACATGGACTCATGTGGAAGGAGAGGACATGAACTGATTCTTTTGGTGAATTTTATTTAGGACTAATTTGACTCCCTAAAAGATCCTCTTACCTTCTGTACAGATAAGGAAACTCTGGGTCCTTTCCTTTTCAATACCTTCAGGCTGTCAAAGAATAACACAAACAAGCACAGAAGAATGAGTCTAGATCCTCTGTCCATGAAGGAAAAGTGATTAAGCACCAGCTCACTTAAGCATGGCTGGTGCAAGTTTATCCCTGAGAGAAGATCCAACTCATCTTCCCCTTTTGTTCATATCTGGAAGGCACGGGACATCACCGGTACCCATTTTAGCCTCTGCGTTCTGTAGCTTGGACAGGCATTATCTTGATGTCACTGTGGGACACTCTCAGCTCCTCTGATCCTGTATAGCATCTCCAGTAAACAACTAAAAGTGCTTTGTGGAGCAGGGATTGCCAAGAGGCAAATCAAGAGTGTTCCTCTGACAAGTGCTGATTCTTGTTGAGGATGACGGGAACTGCATGGGAGTGTAGGACAAGTAGATTTGTCTCTTGAATTTGAGAATCAGAAAAAGAGAAGGAAGAGAAATAGGTGTACAGGAAACATCTTGACTCAGAAACAAACAAAAAATTGTCAAGTCTATTTCAAATGTTAAGTTTTACTATCCTGGGTGAGGTATTAATTAAAGAAAGGATGAACTTTATGCTGTTTTAATTCATTTAAAATGGCATGTCTTGTGTCAAAAGTAAATGTTGTCAACTAATTAAGTCTCTTCAATGAGAAGATCTTTTAATACAAAACCTCTTAGATGTCTGTTTCTTTTCAGGAAAAGCTTGACTGTTTGCATATCCATACCTCTACTAAGAAGCTTTTGACCACAGTGTCTTTCCAGTTTAGCTTTTGCTGCTCCATTCCTTCATTTGGGCAAGCACTGCTTTGTTTGGACTCAGCAACTACAGTGATATTCACTTTACCTGGAAGACATTCCCAAATATAAATTAAATTGATCATTGGTCCCTTCTGTAATGAGAAATGACTAGAGTCTGTGAACCATGTCTTGAATTGGATTAACCAAATTCTATCATTAAGTTAATGCTTAGAACAAAATAACTTATTTCTTCTCCTTCCTAGGTATAATGTGGTATCTTCCATTTCACCTGTTCCATGATTTTCATGATTCCTTACATTAAATGATAAATTTACTTAATTAAAACTTAAGAAATTTTAGGAAAAGTAACATTTTACAAAGTTGTCTGAGTCAATTTCCTGATATTGATTGTTTATAAAGGTTACTTATGACAATATAGGCTAATAATGTCAGCGAACTAGGGCTCCTAACTTCCCAAAATCAAGCAAGCATAGTAAAATATGATATAGTAGATAGGCACTGGATTGAAATAATGTCCTAGCAAGGAATCCATTGTTTTTAAACTTCCTGATTTCACATTATGTAATTAGAACTGATCTCCAGTTTCCTTGCTTGTGAAAATTACAGGATTGAAAACAATCATTCATTCTTTAAGGTTATTATTATTTACGTGACTATATACCAATATACATAACCAATATATTGTTCTCTTTGTTGTTGTTGTTGTTGTTGTTGTGTTTTAGTGTTTCTCTGTCTCAGGAAGCTTGCTATTTCACTCTTAAAACTGTGTCTTCGACTTAATGTCATAAAACTATACAAGTTGGTACAGTATTCTGTCTCAATTGCCAAGGTAGGATTTTGAAGATCTTGTGCAGTAGAAATATTGAGAAACTTCAAATCTAATAGAAAAATAGTCTGAGAACAGCATCACAACTGAGCTAAAATAATCTCATAGATATATTATTTGCTGTTAAAATAATACAATGAATATAGTACATTAAAGAACATTTGAATGGCCATTTTTTAAAAGTAGTGATTAAAAGTGTCACGCACATCGTATCTAGCATTCCTTGTTTACTAGAATTTTAAACTTTTTCCATTCCATGTATTTTCAATATTTCAATAGGAGACAAGTTTATTTTTCCATCTTGCAGATAGCATAGGCACTAAGACAATATTCTCAGTTTTTTATCTCAATCCAATCATTTAGTGATTTTGGTATCCCCATGGCACATCTAGTAAATTTACAAACCTGACAATTCCCTCATTGGTCATTGTGATGGAGCAGCAATTTTCTTGAAGGTGGCCTGGGTTCATGATGGTAGGTGAAGGACCCAGCGAGAAGTCAAATAATTAAGGTGGCATTAATGATAGCATGGCCTTCATTTGGGATATGGCATATGCCAAACATATAGTCCATGATAGGTCATGCCAGTTAGCATTTATATTGTATTTTAATTACATTATGCTCTTGTAAAAATGAATGGTGGTTTTGATCTACACAGCATTAACAACCAGAAATTAGATTACTATAGATTAGAATTTCTAATGGAGAATTTACAATAAGAATTTTAAAAATGTGAGGGAGAAAATCACGTTTGTATAGACAATATAAGGAAAGTAAATGGAGACAATAAATATGGGCTGGTTTTTCCATGAGTGACTGGTGTAGACAGATAGCTGCTTACCCAATTTCTTAGGTATAATAGTCCAGATGTTTGTTTTCCTCCCTCCAGCTTGAATAACCTCACTGCCATTGATTTTCCAGGTATTAATATTTGCTTCATAATTCTGAGACTCCTCCACTTGAACAGAAATCTAAGAAAACAATCATGGCAATGAGGATAGCACTGGAACACACATCACTATGAAACACCATGCTCAATACACTGTTTAAACTGTCACTGTGAATGAAAGCAATTGTATTTGTTTGAGGAATATGGACCTAAGTCTTATACCTTTATAGTAGCATTTTGCACTTGAGGATAAAGAGAATATGGAAATATTAAGAATATTTTAGCTTTGTTAGATTTTTGCCTCCAGATCAAACAGAACAACGCACCTCTACACATGTATTCAGGTAGCTGAAGGCATTGACAATCAAATCAAATTGTTCATTTTGAACAACCGAAAAGGGTGAGGCAATTTCAATAAAGAAAGGTTGGGAGACTTCTAGAGTGGTTGTAGAGGAAATGCCAAATCCAACGTCGCCATTCACACAAAAGCCACTTGCCTCCCATTGGGTTATCGTATCAGGAATGAGGAACGAAAGATTGGCAGAGCCTGAGGAACTGGAAGAAGAGGTTATCGGTAAAACACATTCTTTGTCTGAACCAAGAACTTAAAATTAAGTGCAGAGCAAGCAGAAAAGTATTGACTGAAGCTCAAAAGTGAGTTATATTGTTTGGATGGGGCATTAGATAAAAATAATGAGAGCTGGATTTTTATAAAATTTGAGTATAGAAAGGTCATTTTTCTTTAAACGCCACTTTTTTTTTTAATTGGGGCAGGTTAAATCTGTCTGCATAAAATGAATAGAAGAGAAACTCTTGGTGAAGGGAAAACAATGCTAGAGAAAAAAATAAAATAAAATGTATGATAAGTACATGCAAATCAATGATATATATTTTACAAATATGGTACTGTTTTATATACCCAGGAATAAACCTGAAGAAAGAAAAAGAAAATAGAAATAAAGACACATAGGAGAGAAAATGGTTAAAACTCACTCGACACTGACGAGGTCCCACATCCATGTCTCTGGGAAGTTTGTTCTTACTGTTTGAATTATAGCCTGTTCTACATAGTCAGCATTCTCCCCTCTGATTCCACTAGCTAAAAAAAAAAAGGAAGAAGTACCTTATTCAGACCTTGGACTCTGCAAATTATAGTCTATATATTATCAGGGTGTAAGGTCTCCATAAAACACCTCACTTTCCTGTATCACAGTCACTTACTATGACTGTTTTCCTGTATCACCATACATTGCCTGTTCCCCTACACAGTCAGGTACCACATAATGACACTGTGATCAATGACAGACCACTTAGACTACAGTGGTCCCATAAAGTTAGAATGGAGCTGAAAAATTCCTACCACTTATTGACATCAAAGCCATCATAACGTTGTAGTGCAATGCATTGGTCATGGGTTTGTGGTAATGCTGGTGTAAACAAACCTACTGCACTGCCAGTCCTATAAAAATATAGCAGACACAATTTTGTACAGTACATAATACTTGATAATGATGACTATGTTACCGGTTTTTGTGCTTACTATACTATACTGTTTACTGTTTAGAGTGTACTGTTCTTACTTATCAAAAAAATTAACTGCAAAACAGCTTCAGGCAGGTCCTTCAGGAGATGTTCCAGAAGAAGGCATTGCTATCATAGATGATGACAGCTCCATGCATGTTATTGCCCCAGAAGAACTTTCAGCGGTACAAGATGTGGAGGTAGAAGACAGTGATATTGATGATCCTGACCTTGTATAGGCCTAGATTAATGTGTGTGTTTGCATCTTCGTTTTAAACAAAAAAGTATAAAAGTTAAAGAAAATTTAAAAATAGGAAAAAGCTTATAGAATAAGAATGTAAACAAAGAAAATATATTTGTACCCTGACTCACTCAGAGTAACTTTTAACCTTGCAAGCTCCATTCATGGGAAGTGCTCTATATAAAAGTATAACTTTTTTTTATCTTGTATACCACATGTTCACTGTGCCTTTTCCATGTTTAGCAATGATTAGATACACAAATAGTTATCATCGTGGTACAACTGCCTACAGTATTCAGTATAGTCACATGCTGCGGAGGTTTGTAGCCTAGGAAAAATGGGCTGTACCACATAGCATAGGTGTGTTGCAGGCTACAGCATCTAGGTTTGCGTAAGTACACTCTATGATGTTCGCACAACAATATCACCTAACAATGCATTTTTCAGAACAAATTCTCCATCACTAAGTGAAGCATGACTGTATTTCTGACATTGTATTTTATCAATAAAAATAAACTACATCTCACATCTGAAGCTAATTTCTTGTTATAGCCAAAAGCATGTCTAGTCTGTCTTATTCTGCTTTATCCAACTATAGGATGTCTAATTGTAGCCAAAAACATGGCATAATTCACACATAAAATTCCAAAATTGCATCATTTATCCCAAATACACTAAATTCCACAAAGCGGTTTGGTCATCCCCCAACAAAAAAATGTAAGATTACCTACATGCAATTCTAGACGGAACACTATGCATTGGACCATAATTTTCTGTTTCTAGATAAAGCGGCTTAGGGAGTGGCAGCCTTCTCTCCATCACACATACTTCTGGTTTTCGGTAATGGAGATTGGTAAAGACTTTGAGACCCATGTTCTTTAAAGAAACAAACAACAAAAATATTGTTCATTCTTTTCATGCAAGAACTATAAAAGGCCTATTATTTATATTGCAAAGATAAATGGATCATAAGTATCCATATTTTCTGTGTTAACAAAGGTCTGAGAAGTTACAAGTCAACTTACCTCTATTTGACTTATGGAAAATCCCTAATTTAGAGAAAAAATTATAATCACTATGATTTATCTAGCACTTATTATGTGCTAGCATTTTTCTAAGTATTTTCCATTATTCTCCATTTCATCCTAAGTGGAAAATACTTATGAGATCAGCACTATCATTACCCTAATTAACATCAAACACACACACACACACACACACACACCCGGCACACTCAGTAAATTAAAGAACTGGAACCTGATAAAGTCTGTCTGATTCAATACCCCTTTTCTTACACACTTGTGATGTTAATTATAGAGATTATTTCATGGAAGGCTCAGCATGTCTCATTAATGGCCTAGGGATATCTGGAGTCCACACTCTCTTAGCCTCTTGATTTGACAATCTTTGCATAAGATTTATTGTATTAATTGGAGGCTGTCTTATTTTTTTAAGTGAGGTTTTGTAATTATAGCTACATGATTTATTTTCAGCAGAAAATTTTAAAATCAACAAAATTAATATCTCCTTTTTATAAGACAATTTCTATGTACTCTATTGGCAGATTACAGACACGAATCTCAAAGTATAGGAAGAAAACTACATAATTAAGAAAACATTAATATGCATTATGAATACTAAAAATTGTGATGAAATATTTTCCAAAATCCTTAGTGATCTTACCCTGACAATATTATAGATATCTCCATCCCCATAGTTGCTTACAGGTGTGTAATATAAACCATTGTAGAACATATCCCTCTGAGGAATGCAAGGGTCTTCCTTGCCATCATCAAGATTGAGGCCATGGTAGAAATAACCATACGGCTCTATACTTGGAACCATGTTATACACCTATGAGAAAAAACATTTCCCAATAATTTTAAGCACTTCTTTTAAAATTACAAAATTGGCAAATTGTCTACTGTACCATTTATTCTTGTTCTTTTCTTTAAGAGCACGGCCATCATATTTAATCCAGTATTTTCACATAAGCTCTTCCTTTCAAAAGAGCAAACCAGTTTTGTTTTAGGCAACTGATGTCATGTTCACAGAATTTCTCAGCTTGGGCGCAGGATTTAAGAGAGAATGTAAGAAAGCAATGCCTGACTATTGATTAATCCAAGGCCCATTGTACACACAGTCAATTATAATGCTAGAATTTCTAAGTCTGGAGAATAATCTTAGCTGCCTGATTTTAAATCTTCTTACATAATCTTCTGAAGAAAACATAAAATCAACAAAGAGAACAAGTAAGGATACTCATGACTAATATCTTTAACATTACTACAATACAGAGAATACCATGATCTTCAAATTATTTCTTAGTAGAGAAACAAACACCAAATGCCAAGAGAGCTTCTACTGCTATTGCAGAGGGAAGGCTTAAGAGACTGCAGAGAAAAAGAGAGCAGAATGGCATGGAGAAATGAGAAGAAACACACACCAAGTCAACTCCAGGTAAGAGAAAGTCTAGCATTGTTAAAAATACAAATCATAGTTTTCGGACTCAACAGTTCCCAGTACAGCACACAGGGAAAGGGCTTGGACTGAATGGGCCTGGAAGTGGAAGCTTCCAAAAAACATGGCTAAGGGGAAATAATCAGATCACAAGAAGAGGTATGCAGATCCTTGGAGACAGGGAATTTAAAAAAGGAAAGGATGTCATAGGATAAAATAACTCCCTCCACCCTCATTTCCATCACCAACATTTTAAAAATAATGCATTTTACTAAAAAAAAAAAAATAGAAAGGGCGCTCTTCACCTATGAACACCCTGCACAAAATATCAAGAACTAGAAAAAATCAACTCCATACAAAGCTTCTGTAAGAGAAAATAGGAAATGCAAACCAAAACACTTCAGCTAATGAAACTTCTCCACTAAAGTCACTAAGTAAATAAATAAGTAAACAAAGAAAAGCCATGCCAAAATAATTTAACATGAGTGAAATATTCTCAAGCATGTATTTGAGGTATTTAAAAGGCACCATGAGTCAGAAATTCTATTAAGAAAATACAGAAATGGACAAAACCCAAGAAGAAATAAAATGAGGCTTTATTGAACTCAGGAAAACTAGACAAAATTATATCATAAATAAACTCTAAAGTACAAGGACATCAAGAGAAAATTGTTCAGAGAAAACTTTAAAAGCAGCACAGAGGAAAAACAACAGAACAAAACTGAAAAAGAATGAATTAAAACAGGTCACAAAGTGATTGAATTGGAAAGCAGGCAAGGAAGATCCAACAAATGTACAGAGATTTTTTTAGAACAAAAAAAATGGAAAGACCAATATTTACAATTATAATTCAGGGGAACTATCTGAAAATAAAAGAAGATTTGAGTTTACATATTGCATGACTCCACTGTGTACCTGGCAAAACTTCTACAGAATAACATTCTTACTGAAACTGTTAGATTAAAGTATAAAGGGGAAAAAAACATTCAAGGCCTTCAGACATAGAGATAAAGTAGCCCATAATGGAAAATGAATTAAACTAATGTCAGCACTATTAAAAGGCATATTCAAAGCAAGTCAATAGTAAGGTAGCATTTCAAAAAATTTTAAAATGTATAAACCAAAGATTTAATATACAAATACCTGTCTTTCATTTATTAAGGCTTTAGAAAAAATAATTCTGAATATGAAAATGTCAGAGAATTCTATACTTATGTGATGTCCTGAGGACTCTAGTAGAGAATGCACTTTTTAAAAATTGTTATTTATTTATTTCTGAGACAGGGTCTCATTCTCTTGCCCAGGCTGAAGCTCAGTGGTATGATAATGGCTCACAGCAGCCTCGATCTCCCAGGCTCAAGCAATCTTCCCGCCCCAGCCTCCTGGAGAATGAGCTTTATGTAACCAAAAGATGACTCAGGAAATTAGTAAGACTTGATGAATAGGAGAAACAATACAGAATGTAAACATTATATATTCTGACAAAAAAGGAAAGATGCAACAATAAAATGAGAGAAGAGGGAGAGAAAAGTGGAAACTAGAGATTACTGACTGTTGTGTAGGTAGCAGTTAAGACTCAAAGATTAAAAATAACTGACTAGATTTTTTTTTTTTAAATGGAGTCTCGCTCTGTCGCCCAGGCTGGAGTGCAGTGGCGCGATCTCGGCTCACTGCAAGCTCTGCCTCCCAGGTTCATGCCATTCTCCTGCCTCAGTCTCCTGAGTAGCTGGGACTACAGGCACCCGCCACCACGCCCAGCTAATTTTTTAATATTTTTAGTAGAGACGCGGTTTCACCGTGTTAGCGAGGATGGTCTCGATCTCCTGACCTCATGATCCACCCGCCTTGGCCTCCCAAAGTCCTGGGATTACAGGCGTGAGCCACCGCGCCCGGCCATAACTGACTAGATATTAAGGTTAAGCAAGAAAAAATGAGATTAGGATATTAGGATATTATAAAATATGTAAATATAAAAATAACCACTAAAATAAAAATTCAAGCTAGCCTGAATACTCAAAGAAGCTTTAAGCAAGATAACAACAAACAAACATAAAAGCTAAAGAAATAAAGTAGCTTTAAATACAATACAGAATCATAAGAAAAATAGTATGATAGAGCTGAGGCCTAACACATACATCATATCAATAGAGTGAATAGACTTTATTCTCCTTTAGAAGACAAAGATATGCATATTTAAAACAAAACATAATGCTGTACTTCATACAAAAAACAAGTGAAGTGCATATTTCAAAAGGTGAAATCCAAAGGAAAAGTAAAGGAAAATAATAAGAATGCAAAGGCTGCAATCCTCCTGTTATCGGAAATCGTAGAAGTAAGGCCAAAAGACATCAAACAAGATAGAGAAGAATACTTACTGCTAAAAGCTGCAATTCATAATAAAGGCACAACAGTTATGATTATCTATGCAGAAACTACAGAAGATGCAAGAAGAAACAGAGCACTATTTGTAGGGTATTTTAACACATCACTCAGCAGAAGAAGGTTAAATAAATTTTACAAAATAAGTAAGAATACAAAGAATCAAAATAATCCAACCTCATGGATAGAAAACAAACTGATAATAGAGACTATATCTTCTCAACACATGAGATATATTCGCAAAAACTCATTATATATTTGGGCACAAAAATATACCGGTGGAAATATTGCTGGCCATGAAGATATAGAACTTGAAATTTAAAAGAAAACTCTAAAATAAATTCCTTTTTATATGAAAATTATAAAGTACTCCAGTAAGTAAATTTTCAGTGAAAGGGTTAATACAAACAGAAATTACGGAATTTCTGAAAAATAAAAATGGTGCAATTGCTATGTATCAGGATCTATGAGATACTTCAAAAGTAGAAATCATGGAAAAACTTATAGGCTTAAAAACACCTAGCCCAATAAAATAAATTAATGAAAATGAAGTAAATTTCTAAGTGAAAAAGCTAAAAATAACAACAAAATACAGCACCAGTAAGGAAATAATAAAGATAAAAATAGAAATTAATGTGATGGAGTAGCAAAAAACCTCACATCATATTACATCACATTAATAAATTAAAATTATATGTTTTTGGAAAACTCGGCAAAATAGGTAAACCACCAACTAATCTAACAAGGAAGAAAAAGTAGCTATCTGCTTAGGAACAAAAGAAAAACAACTTCTTCCATGACTCAGTTTTCAGCCTCATTTTTTGTCCTTTTAGCATCGTGAATTGGGGTCCGGAGTTGTTTGTATTTTTCTTTCACAATAGACTGATGTATGTAACCTAGTCTCAAATGATTCAGAAAAAACTGAAATGGCATAAACTCTGTGTGTGTGTGTGTGTGTGTGTGTATGTATGTGTGTGTGTGTAGGGGTGGAGAGAGTGAGAAAGAGAAAACAAGTACGGTGAAATGTTCACAAACTGGTGAATCAGGCCAAGGGTCTACGGGAGTTCTCTGTGTAATTCTTGCACTTTTAAAAATTATTTAAAACTAAAAACTAAGCTTACATAGATAATACAAAAAATAACATAAACTTATAGAATATAAATTGGAATTCACTCATTTATAGAACTTCACTTGATTTATACTATTAATATAGCTATCAATAATAAACAAGGGCAACCTCTTTTGGCTCTGATATATTCTGAGACCCCTGAATAATGCCTCTAGAATTTTCTTTTTGAGGTCCCTTGATGGTCTTTTCTTGAGGCAGTTTTCCTAAGATATTGCCACCTCCAACTGTAGAAAGAATGAGCAGAAGCTATTTACTCTGAATCCATGAAACTCTCAAGGGAAAAAAAAGGAGTGTGTGTGTGTGTACATATATAAACATATATATGTACACACACACACACACACACACATATATATATACATATTCCTTTTTTTTCTTTGAGACAGGGTCTCGCTCTGTCACCCAGGATGGAGTGTAGTGGCACGATCTTGGTTCACTGCAACCTCTGCCCCCGCCAGGGCTCAAGTGATCCTCCCATGTCAATCTCCCAAGTTTCTGAGATCACAGGTGCACACCACTGTGCCCTGCTCATTTTTTATATTTTCGGGGGAGACAGAGTCTCATCATGTTGTGCAGGCTGGTCTCGACCTCGTGAGCACAAACGATCTGCCCGCCTTGGCCTCCCAAAGTGCTGGGATTACAGGCGTGAGCACAGCACATGGCCATATTCCATATTTATAGATAAATTTATCCTTTATTTGTTGATGTCCCCTCAGATTCTGAAAGCTTCTAACTAAAAGTATTTTTGCTCCCTGTAATAGAAAACTTAAATGTATTTATGTTTTGCATTGAGAAAAATGTTTTATATAATGATCTATAGTTATTCAATATTATTACTGAATTCTATAATTTTATACTTAAAACTGGACTTACTACAGAATGTTGAAAGCAAAATACAAAACTATTTTTTGGTGAGATCTCAAGTTTGTAAAATATATATGCCTTCAGAAAAGAGACTTGAAAAATTACAGCAAAACTATAAAGATGCCTAAGTGTTAGGACTATAAATGATTTTAAAGATTTCCTTCTTTATGTCTTTGTATACTTTGCACAAAGTACACAATTTAAATTAGATTTAAATATGATCATAAATTTCAATAGTTATTTATATGTAATTGTGTTAGAAATAAACGGAAAATATCCAACAATTGTTAAGCGAAATAAATTGGATGTGAACTTCTGGAATTCCAGGTCTGGAAATGTTTAAGAAAATACAATATCCATTTATAGATAATAACTTTACACTGAATCCAAGCATATCCTTGAACATAGAGATTTCATTTTATTCCAAGTTTCCACTTCTGTGATTACACCTATGATTTTTAAAAATCACAGTTGTAAAATTCCTAAACTGTTATAATTATCTATCAAATTCTGTATTGTTATAAGCATGCTCTTAGGATAGCCAAGAAAAATACGTATATAATCCACGAAGGAACAAAGGAAGAAAACATTCAATATTTTCAACATGTTCAAGACATCATCTGAAGGATAAGACTTCTGGTAGTCCAGAGAAACATGAAAAACGAGGAAGTCAGAGAGCTTACACTTTCAGCTGACAGCTGTTGTTCAGATTTCAGTAGAAGGACGTTCCCATCCACAGCCCCGAGGGCACAGAATAAGACAGGCGCCGCTTGAAGATAGAGACTAGCATTGGAACCAGGTAAGCCCTGCTCGTTAGAGAACTTTATGTTAACCTAAAGTAGAGAAAAAAAAGAGATGAGAGTAGAGACCATTTTATGTAAAGATGATCTGAATACATTTAATCTCTCCTGAATAAATCCTTATAGATTTCTATACGGTATTTCCTTTGCCCACTCTCACCCTCAGCTTTCTTTGCAGGAGACCCCCTTCACCACGTGCTGCCGTCTCAGGATTGGCACTGCTGCCAAGGATCATGCATTGTGTTTGGTGATTCTCACATCCCCTAATAATTCAATTATGCCAGCACTGAGTGTAAGTTTCCCACGTGAAGGTGATAGCAGTCAGGCGAGAAGACAGCAGGGAGCAAACTGTTCCCACTTCTCAGGCCAGAAATAGGAGAAACATCACCTTGTGTTTAAAGCACTTGTCAACCTGGAATCTGACACTGTCAGCCACAATTTCCCCACTGGGGTGAAGGGTGTAGACAAACAGGACGGCTGCAGGAGCCAGATCAGCACTGATGCTGAGTGGGAACGAGAAGTTTCCATTCCAGGCTGTGTAAATAGGAGACGAAGAGATACGATGCTGAAAGTTTCCTGAATCACTGGTACACTTAGATAAAAGAGAATAGCTCATGGACAGAAAGAGTAAATTGGGCCCTGTTTTCAAGACAAATAAATCAAATAATAGGAAGTACATACACAAATAAAGAAGACTGCATAATTTAGATAATAACAATACTGGGATTTTGTACACCACTTTTCTTTTTTTTATTTTTTATTTATTATTATTATTATTCTTTAAGTTTTAGGGTACATGTGCACAATGTGCAGGTTAGTTACATATGTATACATGTGCCATGCTGGTGCGCTGCACCCACTAACTCGTCATCTAGCATTAGGTATATCTCCCAATGCTATCCCTCCACCATCCCCCCACCCCACAACAGTCCTCAGAGTATGATGTTCCCCTTCCTGTGTCCATGTGTTCTCACCGTTCAATTCCCACCTATGAGTGAGAATATGCGGTTGTACACCACTTTTCTAATGTACTCAATGATCTGACAATAAAAGAAACAGTAGAACTCTCCTTCATCAGGACATTTAGTAGCTTCCCTCAGGCTGTGCTAACTATTCCCTTCATCCACAAATTGAAATAAGTGCTCGTTCTTCTTTTCACTATATATATATACACATACATATATACACACATATATATATACACACACACATATATGTTTGACTATATATAAATATATTTTCTTAATATATATAATCCCCATATATATAATGTCTATATATCCTTAACAAGAAAAAATGAAGTTAGAGCACATATTTTAAAATGAATACATTATGTATACCTTTGTTTCTGATTTCCTTTTGTCCACTGAGTAAGATAGCTCCTTTTACCATCATCTGTGTGGAACAAAGAAAACATAACATGCAATATATTATCTGATGTCATCATATTCTCATATTGAGATTAGGTAATTCATTACTTAATGGTAATTCTGTTCCATAAGATAGGGTAGCTTCCACAAGCAAATATTAAAAATAGACTTTGCGTAAGTTGGAAAAGAGCAGAGAAAGTGACTAAAACTGATTGAGATTCTATCATGTACTGGAAACTTTGTGAACTATGTGCAATGCACTGTGCAAAGTGGCACATAAAGCTCTGAAATTGTCAAGGCTGTCCGGTTTCAAATACGCCTTCACCTGCTCATTAACTTTGTGACTTAAAACATGATGTTTTACCTGTTTGCCTCTGTTCCATTATCTGTAAAATGGAGATATCTATAAGGCTAATTAAATGAGTTAACACATATACAATCTTTATAACAGTGCCTGACACAGAACACTTACCCTAAGAGGTAAGTCTTATAATCTCCAATTACACTGTACACCTGAGGAAGCCAAGGGTTAAAGAGTTCAAACAATCCGTCCAAGATGCACTAACTTGCATGCTAACTAGGAGAGGGTGGGGGATTCAAGTTAATGTCTTAATTTCCAGGTCTGTGTCTTATCACTCTTCAACAGGCCTTAGAGCAGAAGGCCCCAGTCCCCAGGCTGTGTACCGGCAGGTACGTATCCATGGCCTGTCAGGTACTAGGCCACACAGCAGGAGGTGAGCAGTGCGGTGAGCAAGCATTACCACCTGAGCTCCTGTCAGATCAGCAGTGGTATTAGATTCTCATAGGAGCACAAGCCCTGGTGTGAACTGCACGTGTGAGGGATCTAGGTTGTGCGCTCCTTATGAGAATCTAATGCCTAAAAATCTGTCACTGTCTCCCATCACCAACAGATAGGACCATCTAGCTGCAGGAAAACAAGCACAGGGTTCTTACTGATTCCACATTATGGTGAGTATGTAATAATAATAGAAATAAAGTGAACAATAAATGTAATATGCTTGAATCATCCTGAAGCCATCCCACCATCCCCACCCCATCTGTGGAAAAATTGTCTTCCATGAAGCCAGTCCCTGGTGCCACAAAGGTTGGGGGCTCCTCCTTAGAAAGACAAAATGGACAGAACCAAGAGAATAAAGTCCTTTTACTGCTTATCAACATAAGCTTTCCACCTTACTTTCTGGCATCTGCCCAATATTTTACTATTACAAAGTGTCATAAATACTTGATATGAGTTACATTTGAATGCTTAAACAAGTGGACTCTGAACAGCAAGTTCTTCAACCTTAGGGAAACTTTAATTGCCTTAGATCGTTCTATGTGTTTGTTTGTTGTTAATGGATCGAACAGTATTCACCAGCAAAGTGAGAAGGCTGCCCTTACTCTGGTCACCGTGGCATGACTGATGCATGATTTCTAAGCTGTGCTGGGCTAAGCAGACGTGCAATTGAACAGGATTCCAGGAACCCACTGACTGAGACTTACCAAATAGAAGAACTTTACATTGGAATCATCCTCATATGCTTCACTGTTTAGGGAGTAATGCACAGTAACAACCTTCTGGTGATTACATTCAAGCTGCTTTGGTTCTGGAACAATCTTCAGGAAGCTGTTCGTTCGGGAGTAAAAGCGTGAGACTAAGAAGTGAGCATCCAAGTACTGAGGCGTCAACCAGCTGGGAAGATAGCAGCTCTTAGGTCGAACATATGTGGCCTGAGATGACAAAAGAAAGTGAAGGGTCTTAGTATCATGACATCCGAAGACAGTTGTTACTGAGAATGGAGGCTTCTCAACTCTCCAGAGTAGGGAGGAATCTCAGCTTGTGGCTGACGTTTTAATGTTAAGTTATTGGAATCAAAATAATAATAGCACTCTGCTCTTTGTATACAAAACGTGACCATGAAAGATTGTGTAAATATTTCATTAGACTGATGGTGAATTGTTATGTTTTTTACACTTTAATTGAAGCCACAGAATTGGGTTTCAGTTCTGTTTCTTTCAGCTACATGTGAACACTGACAAATTATTTAACTGCAAAATTCTGTTTAAGCAGCGGAAAATAAACAGAAAGTATAGGATCTCCCCTATCTATGCATGAAATGATCTGAGGAAGAAAGTCAAATCATCCTCATGAGCTACTTCTTGTTTCCTAGAGGAAAATATTAGTTGTTAGCAAATTTATAACAATCGTGATAGACTTTTAGCTTCCCATCCCCTTGAACAAGTATTCTCATGTATTATTTAGTGAACAAGCAAATTTATAAAATAAGTTACATTTTAAATTTTCTTTAAAATAGATTCTGTATACAAGCTATCTTTTGAGATATTCCTAATGTTTAACATTTCTGATATCCAAATCCTCTGTGGGATGTCTAATGGTCTTCTTCTGTTCTTTGATGTCTTACTTTTAGGTTGAACTCTGGATCAAATATGTCTGAAGTGTCAATGGAAAATTGAGCTTCGCCATTCTCGTCCGTAGTATAATTTCCTATAAATTCATCATTGAGCTCCAGTTGCAACAACTTGTTCACCATAGGTACATTATTGGGATCCGAAAATTTAAGCTGTACAAGAAAAGAATAATTAATATGACTTAAAACACAAAATGTTTACATTTTTACAGAGAAATAGTTTTCTACTCATAAATGTGATCCCTAGTCATTTTCCTAAATTCCAACAGACAGAAAGATGCTCTATTAAATACATAGATATATAATATAAAGTATGGAAAAAATGATACTGTTATCTATTGCTTCTTTCAATCTAGGACACTTTCTAGCACCTCAGACATAGTAGTGCTTAAAATGTATTACAAAAGTAGGAAAAAAGTGACCAGAAATTTTCAAAGGGCAATCTATGATCCAAGAAAATGAAATGGAAGCATGTATTCTTTAGTCAAACCTACAGTTCCAAAATAAGAAATCCCTCTTCTGTAGAAAGTATCCATGTTCTCAAAGTTTACAGTTCCAAGCAATTGAGTGATAAAAACTGAGGTCTTCTCACTGATCTGCATACCTGTAAGGAATGATGAACACAGCAGAGTGAAAATATCTAAGTTACCATCCACAGCAATATAAATGTGACCAGCTTGCCCAGTGTGAATAGCATCATGATATTGATCAAGTATGCTTATATAGAGCACTTTACAATGGCATAATCACAAACTCCTTTTTAAATAACAAGAAATAATTAGTAGTTAAATCTGATTTTCCCACTCCAAATTAAATAATCTCTTTCTCCCTTCTTTCTGGTTTTTTTTTTTTTTTTTTTTTGAGACTGAGTCTTGATGTGTCACCCAGGCTGGAGGCTGGAGTGCAATAGTGCAATCTCAGCTCACTGCAACCTCCGCCTCCCGGGTTCAAGCGATTCTCCTGCCTCAGCCTCCCGAGTAGCTGGGATTACAGGCATTCACCATCATGCCCAGCTAATTTTTTGTATTTTTGTAGAGACAGGGTTTCACCATGCTGGCCAGGCTGATTTTGAACTCCTGACCTCA
Organism: Homo sapiens; assembly: GCF_000001405.40. Lineage (NCBI taxonomy): Eukaryota > Metazoa > Chordata > Mammalia > Primates > Hominidae > Homo > Homo sapiens. The sequence continues at coordinate 31,149,906 of NC_000012.12, forward strand.
GGTGATCCACCTGCCTTGGCCTCCCAAAGTGCTGGGATTACAGGCGTGAGCCACCGTGCCCGGCCTCTTCTTTCATTCTTTTAACAAATACTTATTGAACACTCACTTTGTGCAATCTTGTAAATTTTTCAGTAATAATTTTTGCACTTGCAACTATTCCCAGTTGTATTAAATTAGAAATAATCTGAATTTTGTACTTAGTGCTAACTCAACAAGCTTCTCCCAGTAAGTTGCCATACATATATCCCCAGGTCGTCCAAAAAATACAGTAATTTCCTGTCCCAAATTCTGTAACAATTACAGCGACATGAAATGTCATGAACAATCCCGAACGGTAGAGTTGGAAGACTTTTGTATTTACAATTTGAGAAACACAACCATTTTCCAACTGAAAAATAAAGAGAAGGTATAATTAAAATGTTAGAGATCCAAGAGGTTTTTTTAAGTGTCTTTTAAAATATGGTTTTTGCACAAATATATTAACATCCCCACCCCGTGCCACGGCTCTACCTCATAAACTTGTTGAAATGGCCAAAGAATTAGAGGAGGAGTAGGAGGAGGCGAATATTTACATCAGCATTTTAAATAACGGAAGGAGGTAATCTGTATTTTACAGATTTCAAGGAAATTCTCCTGGAAACATTGTAGATGAGAAAAGATTAAAGGATGGAAATGAAGCTGAATGGTATTGTGAAAGGAAAGTAAATCTCAGGAGCCCAACATCCCTAAGCTAAAGGGAAAGGGCAAGCTGGGAACAGCTGGGCAAATCTGTCTCCCATTTTATTCCCAAATAAGGTAGCTACAAAGATAAAAACTACATACCTCCCTCACAATTTGCCCACAAGGAAATTCTTTGTGGGCCTCAAGAACTTTTCCTTAAAACAGTTCTTTGGAAATTCACCCTGGCAATATAAATTCATAGCTTATCTTTACAGGCGTGGGACAAAAGACAGACTCAGTCATCCCTCTGCTTACCTGAGACAAATACATATCTGATTTATCTGATTGCTTCCTCTGCCTAATAGTTTATGTAAAAATGCAGATTTACTGAGCCACACTAAGGCAGGAGTGACTATTCCTCTATCCTCCTCTCACATGTAATTTGTGTATTCAGTGAAAGGCTGATCAAAGACAAAGACTTATTCTTTTTTTTTTTTTTTTTTTTTTTTAGATAGAGCCTTGCTCTGTCACTCGGGCTGGGGTGAAATAGCCCAATCTTGACTCACTGCAACCTCCGCCTCCCAGGTTCAAGCGATTCTCCTGCATCAGTCTCTCAAGTAGCTGGGATTACAGACACCTGCCACCACGCCTGGCTAATTTTTGTATTTTTAGTAGAGATGGGGTTTCTCCACGTTGGTCAGGCTGGTCTCGATCTCCTGACCTCACGTGATCTGCCCGCCTCGGCCTCCCAAAGTGCTGGGATTACAGCTGTGAATCACTGCACCTGGCCTCAAAGACTTCTTCTTTATGCAACTGTTTGTCTCTTATCTACCTATGACCTGGAAACCCCCTTAGTTTGGATTGTCCTGCCTTTCTGGACCGAACCAATGTACATCTTACACATATTTGTTGATGTCTCACATCTCCCTGAAATGTATAAAAGCAAGCTGTAGCCCAACCACCTTGGGCACATGTTGGTAGGACCTCTGGAGGCTGTCATAGGTACATCCTTCACCTTGGCAACATAAGCTTTGCAAATTGATTGACATCTGTCTCAGATACTTTTGGTTCACAGTGTTTTAAGAGGAAGAAATTCTAATCATCTAGAAAGGCACTAAAACAGATGGAACAGAAGCGCTCAGCACATGTGTAACAACAAAACAAACACTTTTTAAGGTATATTGCTTATTTAAAATAACAAAAAATCTATAGTTAATCTATCATCAGTAATAATAATTAGAGAAATATAAATTTAGTTATATTTTATAACACAGTGTTTATTCCAGATTTAAAATGTTATAAGGATATATTAGTTTATTTGATACTCAAAACTATTACATGAGCTAGGTACTGTTATTATCTTACTATATAGATGAAGAAACTAAACTAGGTCCATCATGTAACCTGTCCAAGATCTCACAGCTAAGAGACGGTGGTGCTGAGGAGCTGCTCTGGCTCCAGAGTATGTGCTTCTCTATCTTAAATTAACAGCCATTACATCAACAACAAAAGCAATTTTATTTTGTCTAATGATAATATAGTCAAATTAAAATGAAATCATAGAAAGTGATCAGAAGAACCTTAATTATTTCGAAAATAAGAGAAAAGCCTTTTTTCAGGAATCCTTGAAACAAAGAGAATACATAAAGTAAACCAATAAGAATCCAGATATTAGAGTAATGAAAAAATACTTCGCATCAAAGTCAATGGTATTCAGCTGCAGTTCAGAAGAAATGTAAAACAGTGAATGTGCTTATTACTAAAAGAAACAGCTAATATATTTTTTAAACCCCAACAAAATCAACTACAAATATTAGGAAAAAGAATTAATAAGATGAAAGAGAAAATAAATTATTTAGGAACACAAAATAATAAAAGAAAGAAAATAGTAAAAATAAGAACCAATAAAATAGACGAAACTTTCGTGGGCATGATTTAGGACAAAGAGTGAGAGAGAACAAAATTGTGAGATAGGTGCTAACACAACACAGCCCACATCTGGAAGAAAAATTCCCATTTTAGAACATCATTGGAAGTGAACTTTATGTCTATTAGAAAATTGTAAACAATCTTAAGAGCATACTTAGATAGCCACATGTACAACACAGGGGCCAGTGAGATTTTTTTTCTAAGGCTGGAAACCCAGGAACATAAGGAAGGTGGGTATGTCAAAAATATGACAAAGTAAATGAGTTGCCTATTTAAATAACAGGCTTGAAAAAAAATGCTTGTAGGATGGAAGGCAGTACTTACCTGAAAGTTTCCATTTCACATGAACAGAAAAACATGGGTAATTAAGAGTTCTCAAATCCAAATTGATAACAAAAATATGAAAAGTTGCTCAAACTAAATCGAAATTAGATAGCACAAGTTAAAACAAGCTAAATTTGTGTCTATCAAAATGACAAAAACTTTTAAAACTTCTAAATATATTGCTGAAAGTAATTTGGAAAATATAGTATTCTCATGTACTTCTGACAGGAATTTGAATGCCTAAAACTTTTAGGAGAGCAATATGCTAATATTTATTAAAATTAAAATTATCTGTCTATGAACATTATCTATATTTCCTTTGACTCAGGAAACTCACTCTAAGAAATTTATTTCAAGTAAATAAAGCCTCTCATATATAAAGATAGTTCCACCGGACAGATTTTTTTTTTTTTCTTTTTCTGAGGCAGGTCTTGCTCTGTTGCCCAGGCTCGAGTACAGTGGTGCGAACACACTTCACTGCAGCCTTGACCTCCTGGGCTCCAGTGATTCTTTTGCCTCAGCCTCCCTGTAGCTGGGACCACAGATGTGCACCACTGTGCCTGGCTAATTTTTGTAGAGAAGGGGCTCACTATGTTGCGCAGGCTGGTTTCGATCTCCTGGAATCAAACGATCCTCCCGCCTCAGCCTTCCAACATGCTCAGATTAGAGGTGTGAGCCACTGCTCCTAGCCTCTACCAGATTGTTTATTGGTATTTTTTTCACATGGGGAAAAAAGTAAACCATTTGCTGAGGGAACACCCATCACTGTGTAAAACGGTTGACTGAACTCTATCAGAATGTACTGCTGACATGGAAAAATTCCACCCTAGTTTTCTTTGCCTGCATTTCCTATGTAAAGGTAGGATTCTGCTTGTCTTTGTCAATTATTGATATTTACCTAGAGGATGTTCACTAAATTTGATGAGTAACTTTAGGACAATTGGACTTAAAATATGAACTATGTGGCATACACAAGCTTCACTTTGGGGAGTCAAAAGACAATTTCAAAGAGATAGGAAGAGCTGTTCACTTAAGGTTAGGATGCTGCAGATAGAGCAAATGATGACTTCACATATGAACTGCAAGTCTAAAGTAACATAGTGGGGGTACTCTGAATTGCAGTTGATTGAAAGTAAGCTGTTTCCACTAAAAAAAATCCAGGTGGCATGGAGAGTAATATCACAGACTCATTTAAAGGATGATTAACGATTCTCCAAAGAAAAATCAGGAAGGCTACCTAGGCGATATATAAAACAACAAAGCCCACGATACCTTTCATATTCTAAAAATCCCATGAATCTATAGGTGGAGAACAATTTACATGGTCTATGGAATAAAAAACTGCTTTAAGCACTGTATTTTCTTCTCTTTCTTCACTTTATTTAGCTGCAAACTCCATTATCAATAAAATGAAAATAGTATTGTTAAGCTCCCCTTATAAATGAAATCAAAGAAAGAATAAGAATGAAAAATGAGTGAGAACTTTTTTTTGGAGTAAAGATCATGGTCTGTACCTGTGCAATAAATTGCTCACATATTTCATTGTCATTTTTCTCACAATTGCTTGAAGAAAAATACTCTCTGCACACCCGGATTTGGGTTTTCCCTTGCACAGGTTGGCCAAAGGTGTACCTCATGGGGGAAGGTGTAGTTATGATTACAGATAAGCAATATCATAGCAATATTTTATGATCTTCTTCAGAAATTATATAGGAAGTCTCTAAACTGTGAGTAACCCAGTCTAACCAAATTGAATTAGGAATTCTCCCTATTGGTGAGGGTTTAGGTTCCCCACAGAATTCAGGTTAAACTGGGCATTTGATCTCAGGAGGATTTGGCTGCCTTTAAAAAATTGAATTCAGGGTAAGGCAGAATCTAAAATAATCTAAAATCTCATTGAATATGATTTAATGCTTAAATTGAGTTTTTTAAAAATATATTTTAATCTGATAGAAACATCATAACATTGCAGCACTTTCCCTTTTATCAGAAAAATATATATGTATATAAAACTTGGATGATTCAGGATCCTGAAACATTTCCAGATCAACATTTTAAACACGAATTTTTATTTACCACTCAATAAATATAAAGGCTATGGGGCTGGCATGAACTGGTTATGCTTTGACCAAAAATATAATACCTTACAGGGTGGGTTTGAGTATCTCATTTTCTCCTAAAACACAAAACTACAACACAAGATTTTAAAGGTTCAACCAAAGGCAAATCCAGTCAATTGGAGTTTTTTGTTTTGTTAATAGACAACAAATGTAAAACTAGCATATAATAAAAGTGAATATTATTTTCACAGATTATAATACTTTTTTCTAATTGTTGGACACTGATATATATCATTTATTTTTCCCAGTGACCCTGATTTGTAAAATGAGGTCAAGTAACTTCTCCACATTGTAATTAATGAAACTAAAATTCGAACTCAGATCTACCTCACTCCATAGCCCGTGCCCTTTTCTTTCCACTCACCTTTTTCTCTTTCTATTTAAAAATTCCTAACACTTTTGAGATTCTGAGTCAAATCATACCAATAAAATCATGATTATATAAAGGCCAGACTTAGATCTGGCCACACATATTATACCTGAACATTTCTTCTTATTTCTACTTAATGTCTTTTATTTATACAATAAAAGTCTTATTGTAGTATTATCTGTAAGCTAACATATGCCTATAAGACATGTAGCTTAAATTTTAAAAACAGGACAGAATAATCCCTTTGTGATTTGAAAAGCTTTCAGTGAATGCTAATGCAGTGTATTAAAATCTCTTTGTCTGTAGGTAAATTTTCTTCCCTCTTAAAAGCCTAAGTCATCTCTGACTTTGTTTGCTAAAATAATCCAATTTTTTTCTTGTTTTCTCTAGTCATTCCAAGCTAAATCCCAGAAAAGACTAAAGAAACACAGACACAGTATCATACAATTTGAGACACAGTATACAACTGACGTGAACCTTCTAGAAACAGTGCTCTCACAATCTGCCCAGAAATAACTTTGTAGCAAGCACAGCTCCAGTCTAGCTGCCTGGTCTCCTGGCAAGATATTATTATTGCTGATACTGATTTACTCCTATGTAACTCTATCCAGAATACAATATCAAAGAAATTTCAAGAAATCAGGATCATGGATTGTAACCTGACATACTGCTAAGGAACTACCAGTTCCATGTTAGCATGTGGTTTGCAAGTATTTTCCAAAGGCCATGCTTGAGAAACATTTTTGTTCTTCCAATGTGTTGTGGGTTTTGTTTTTAGCATACTATCGTGCAGATAAATAAATGAGATGTTAATGCCACTGAAAGCTCTGGCTTTGCGTTTGGCTTTTCTAGTGAAACCTGTTTAGTATTCTGGATTTCTTCCAACTTGAATTTATCACCTCATCATTTTTAACATCAGTGATCTACACAGTCTCTCATCTATTACGTATATTAAATTCTGGTATTTTCAACTACTCTTCATTAAAACTTAGAAAAAAATTTATAATCATTTCCTAAAGTCAAAAGAAGATTTGAAATGCTACTGAAAAAAAAAAAAGAAGGCTGAAAACTGGTTTGCAAGATTCTCTGGGGCATCAAAGGCATCTTAAGAACCACGCTTGCACGTTCATTAGACAGCCCTTTAATCAATGTATCTTTAATAGACTGCTGGAAATACTCAAAGGCAAGTAATTTTCATGTCATAAATTAAACAAAGTGCTTAACAAATATGGCAAATATTAATATTGTTAACTGTTTTTATAAAGTATATGACAGTTATTGATTAGGAGAGTAGCTTTGAAGCTGAAAAACCTAGGTCTAAATCCTAGTTCTGCCATCAACAAGCTCCATTACTGTTGATAAGTTATTTTAATTCTCTGTGTCTTATTATCTTTCTTTATAAAATACAGATGACAATAGCTCCTATCTCATAGCACTGTGGTAATGATATATGCAGAGCTTAACAAACTAGTTGACATTCAAAAAACATTTATTTTATTTTTTATTTTATTTTATTTTTTTCTGAGACAGAGTTTCACTCAGTTGCCCAGGCTGCAGTGAGGTGGCATGATCTCGGCTCACTGCAACCTCTGCTTCCTGGGTGCAAGCAATTCTCCTGCCTCAGCCTCCCCAGTAGCTGAGATTACTGGTGCCTGCCACCATGCCCGTCTAATTTTTTGTATTTTTAGTAGAGACGGGGTTTCGCTATGTTGGCCAGGCTGGTCTCGATCTCCTGACCTCGGATGATCCCTCCCCCACCTTGGCCTCCCAAAATGCTGGCATTACAGGTGTGAGCCACCGTGCCTGGCCAATTGTTTATAAATTATTATTAGAAATTCGAGAAAAGGCACTAAAAAAGAAAAAAAAATTAAAAATAATTTTCCAAAAACAAAATACAAATTTCTGAAATCGTGTATTTTTTTTACATTAAGAGAATTCAAATAATTCAGATTAACTTGATAAGATGCTTTGTCTTCACTTTGCCATTTCAATAGCTCATATTCTAATTTTAATGAAAATATGCCATGATAGTAAAGATTCAATGAGAATTTCACACCAGCTGCTAGAATCCTACACTGGCACAACATGTTTAGTGAGGAGTATGGCAATCAGAAGACTAAAAGAATGTTACATATTTTGTCTTGGTAATTCCTTTTCTGGAAATCTTTCTTAAGTAAACAATTTTTCATTCAAAAGCTACCTATTATATGTTATACACAAAGACATATACTGCAAAATTATTAATTACCAGGAAAACAAAATGAAACAGCCAACATATTATATAATAAAATAATTAAATTGGGTATAGTCACATAAAAATATGTGCAGCAGAAAATTGGAATTCATGAAAAGATTGGCATAATACGTAGGCATGTTTTCTTAATTATTATAAATAGAAAAGTATGATTGCAGTCATGGAAAATATTCATTAAAATTAGAGGAAACTTACAATGTTAGTGACATTACAATGTTAATGGCAGTTGGTCAAATTAATAATAGGTAATGTCTTGTGTTTTTCTCTATATTTTTCAAATTTTCTACAGTGAGGATTCATTGCTTCTCTAATAACATTAATGTAAGCATATAAATAATTAAAGTTTCATGGTTAATCTCACTTCTCATTCTCTCTGAGCTTTGTGTTTTCTTGTGAAGGTAAATCTCCTGAAGAAATACTCACTTAGCACATACATCCACTTGGAATTCATCATCTGAAATAGTTACTGTTTGTGGTGCATTGACCGTAACTTCAAACTTGGGCAGCACTGGAAACGAAGAGAAATATACGTTAGCCTGCACAATCACAGGCAAGCAAACCTTATTGCAGTCATATAGCTTACTATGATTCCTTGTACCCTCCATCTGTATGAGCTATGTATCATTTGCCCCAAATTGTGTGGCACCATTCTACATGGTGGTGTCTCACTAATGATTAATTCTTCCTCTTTCTTTTCTTTTCCCTATCCTCAGAATTTCACATTTTGTTTCTTTTTGTTTGTTTGTTTGAGACGGAGTTTCACTCTGTTGCCCAGGCTGGAGTGCAGTGGTGCAATCTTGGCTCACTGCAACCTCTGCCTACAGGGTTCAAGCCATTCTCCTGCCTCAGCCTCCCGAGTAGCTGGGATTACAGGCATGCACGACCACGCTGGGCTAATTTTTGTATTTTTAGTAGAGACTGGGTTTCACCATGTTGGTGAGGCTGGTCTCCAACTCCTGACCTCATGATCCACTCACCTCAGTCTCTCAAAGTGCTGGGATTACAGGCGTGAGCCACCACACCCGGCCTCACATTTTCTTTCTATTGCAATCTCTTAGATCTCTCCTAGAAGACTGTGGGGATTCTAGAAAAAATGTATATTTTCTAGGGGGAAAAAGAAGGCAGGAATCAGAATAAGGATACTGGGGAAGGAGTGAGGAGCAGCAAAGTGCTGATGACAAAGCCAACCAGGTCAAGGAAGGGAGACAAAGAAAACCAGTTCTAGCTTCACCTACTCCTGCCTAAGTCTAACACAAATGTTGTGTTGGTCCATCCTTTAAACTCTTCATCTACATAGGACAGCTACAAATAGCAACTGGTTACCATATCTTTTAACAGCAAATTGGTGTGTCACTGTCTTCCTTGAGTTTCTTTTCACAACAATCCAGTAATCTCCAAACATTGGTTCTGAAATCAGTTGGAACGAGAGTTGGGTAATATTTCGGAAAGAAGTCACATTTTGCCATTGAAAAATCCGATTGTTTTGAGGATCCTAGAAAATAATGAAAAAAATATAAACAATCAGAATTTGTATGAGAGTATTACCCTTTGCTGCCATATTTCGGATAGTTTCGGATAGTTTCACAAGGGTTATTTTAGGCCAATATTTTCTCTTATGAAACAAACAAGTAGCTTTTGGTAGAGCCTGTGAGGGCTTAAGAACCCTAATGTCTATAAATCTTAGAGGATTATACACTATGCTTTGGTCATACAAACTTGTACTGCCTTTATTCTTTTTTCTTTTTTTAAAGTATTGTAATTGTACATACTTAAAGGATACAATTGGCGGGGCACAGTGGCTCACACCTGTAATCCTAGCACTTTGGGATGCCAAGGTGGGCAGATCACTAGAGCCAAGGAGTTCAAGACCAGCTTGGGTAATATTGTGAAACCCCATCTCTACTAAAAATACAAAAATTAGTTGGGTATGGTGGCGTGTGCCTCTGTAATCCCAGCTACTTGGGAGGCTGAGGCAGGAGAATCGCTTCAACGTGGGAGGTGAAGGTTGCAGTGAACCGAGATCATACCACTGCACTCCAGCCTGGGTGACAGAGTGAGACTTTGTCTCAAAAATAAAAAAAAAAGTGGGGGGGTACAATTTGATGTTTCAATACACACACACACACACAGACACACACACATATCTATATATTTAGTATAATGATCATATTGGGGCAGTGTTACCAGTACTTCATTCATTTATCTTTTTTTTTTATGGTGAAGACATTCAAAAACCTCTCATCTAGCTATTTTGTAATTTGCTAAATCTTACTGTAAACTATTGTCATCCTACTGTGCAATAGAACACCAGAACTCATTCCTTCTTCATTCTTTTCAGATTAAATAAAATTTTAAAACACTTGTAGAGTGTCAGATGTGTTCCAAGGACTGATCCAAGTGCTCAAGGCACAAAAATGTATATGACATGTTCACAGCCCATATTAGCTTAAAATTTTAAGCCACTGTGCTCCTTGTTATTATAGTCATATAATTTTCTTGCATTATGGCTGCAATTCACATTCTGTAATCAGGGTATAGATGTCTAAGTAAAGTGTTGGCTTAATAATTGTTGTTCTAATCAAATTGAATTACACGTTAACAAAACTTACTTAAATTTTCCTTGTATATTTAATTCTATCTCTTCCCAGGCCAAGTCAAAAAAAATATGAACCCTTGGAAGAATTACATCTAGAAGTGACCAGTCCTAGTCTAAATATTTAAATACATAACATGAGGAATTCAGGCCAAAAGTTTATTCTGATAGGTCTATTTTTTGATGTACTAATAAAACTGGCCATCTCTGCTATAGTTTTGCTAACTTGTTGCAGAAGTAATCTCAAGAAGAAAACAGCCCTATTAGATTATGTTTAGGATGGATAGTTCAATATATATTTTGCCAAAATGTTATATTGAGTTTACACAAATAAACACACACAAGCTGTCATAATAAGTTCATTTAGCAACTGTTTTAGGATAGATTTTTATTCTGGAAGATCCATAATGAATTATATTTTATATGAAGACAGGGCTACCTTTTGCGTCAATATTTTGATATTGAAGAGTGCTGGTACATCAATAAAGTACTTGTATAGTAAACAAATTAAAGATGTTTTGTGAACTAGCTAGGCCTTGAAGACTCACAGGGCTTGGTGTGTAATACTGTCATTCTTAGAGATAATTAGCTCCAGGTTGTTCTTTCTGCTGGAATTGTGAATTGCAAATCCATTCTTATCAGAGTGAAATCAGAACTTCAACCCTAATCAAAATTGATTGGATGAATTATTGAGTGTTACAAAAGTGATGCAATGAAGGGCCCTCATATTTTTGACATTCATTTTTATTAGATCCTTCTTATCTGGAGATTAGGTATGTGAGAAGCTCGGAGAAATAATCTTAGAAGAGCCAAGCAGAATTTTTATATCTAAATCCATGTTACTTACATAGAATATATTGTTCTTTAAATATAAAAATCTATAAATCTGTACAAGACCAATCGATACAAGTAAAAAAAAATGTCTGATCCTGCTTGAAGTAAATTATCAAAGCCATCTACGTTGAGAGATGAAATGTATTACGTCTCTCCTGCTAACTTGAGGAGTAAAGGAATTTACTAAAAAGTTACTAGGATGTTTTTATTCCTTTTCTTTTTTTTTCTTGCAGTGAAGCCTGTAGATCCTTAAGATTCTTTACCAGTTGTGTGGTCTTAATTTCACAAATTGAGGAATCTGATCCATAGATGGTTCCACTTGAACGTGGTGGGAGGGTAACATTCTCCTTCCATGAAATGTAAAGACTGCATTGTGGGACATGGAGGGGCTCCATGAGATCCATTTAGTTGCATTCATCCTCCTGTCCCCAAAGTATATCAGTAAATGTACTGTTTCTTGACAGTTTGGCTGTGTTATCCCAGAGGACTGGATGTGGGAATCTCCAAATGGCCAGATAATACTCTCAGCTTCCAATTCAGTGAAACTATTCTTAAGCATGTTAATGAAAATATACTTCTTTCCTGGATCCTAAAAGGTCTAAATGAAAACAACTCCTATTCCTGAGGATGGAAAACAAGTATTCTGCAAAAGCCACTACCAATCCGTACCTTGGTTCCCAGACATATCTCTAGAAGAGACAGAAACAAGCCCTTTAATATAATTTCATTCCTCAACTTCCTTGGAATTAGTCCCTTAATGTGTCTTGTTCTAAATCCCTGATCATCTTGCCACACATTTGTTAAGGCTTATAAAAGAGTGTACATCTTTACCTCAGGCCATTTGTAGACTTGTCATATACTTTGGTAATTTCCCAACATATGCGTTTCACTTCCAGTAAAGAAGTTAGAAGACTCCATTCCCAGATTACCTTGAATCCAGGGGGCAGGTAAATGACAGGCTCGACCAATGAGATGCTCTGTTCTGAGACTGGGAATCAGAAGGGAGTGAAATGGGGAGGCCATGGAAGAGTTTATTTTCAGGGAACTGTGAGTATAATGGCAACTTCTAGTTCATTTAGGATAAGATAGGCAGAACCTTTTCACATCCACTCCAATGTGTTTATTCCACACACGAGGAGCCACAGTGGGAATTCTGATCATTGCTAGACTTGTCAATTATACCTACACATTTGGAAAATGAATAAATAACCAGAAGATGGATCTGGTCTCTGTTAGTCCTACAATGAAGACAATTTGGCCCCAAATTCTGGTTATTCCTGATAGTCATAATCTTTGCCTCTCATCTCAGATGTTATTAGTGAGGTAATATTCAGTATTTTATAGAATATTTAGATATTTATCTTTCCAGGAGCTCATGTGCTTTGGTAATGAGGCAGAATGTCTTTGAGAAAGATAGGAGTGAGACCTTAGGGATGGGTGTCTGCCTAACTGAAGTGGACTCCAATGAAAATTATATAAATATCAAGGCATGAAAATTCAGCACTCCCTATCACGCACTGGTGAAAAAGATAATCAAATAATCTCCTGTTCACCATTGACAAAGTGCCTATTGACAGCAAGCATTTGGGGACCACAAATTTCCACTGCTATGGAACGATACCAGGCTGATCACTTCTAAGAGTTCTGAGAAAATTAAAGAAAAGAAAAACAAGCTAGGAACTTTAAATTAGCCCTTACCATCCGGAGTTCTGTAACAGAATTATCTCTAAGTCTCCAATACAGCTACTGAATGTAATGAATTAATATTACATTTATTGATGCATAAATAGTACCATTCTCTCCTATGTATCCTGAATGGTACTATTTATGCATCAAATGGTCTCTCGAAACATTCTCTGTGGAGTTAAACAATAAAGCAATTTTCTTATATAACAGTTGAGAAAGGTTGCTCTAAATTTTTGGTTGAAGATATACATTGAAAAGTGAGTACTTTCAATTTTTATGTTAAAACTCTCATTTATTGCAGAGCAGTTCTGTAATCAAAATGCCTCATTATTGTATGTGCTTAGATAGAGGCTGATAATTTACCTGTGAGGGATTTTTTAAAAAATTACTGACTGTGGAGGGGAGGAGCCAAGATGGCCGAATAGGAACAGCTCTGGTCTACAGCTCCCAGCTTGAGCGACACAGAAGACGGTGATTTCTGCCTTTCCATCTGAGGTACCGGGTTCATCTCACTAGGGAGTGCCAGACAGTGGGCGCAGGTCAGTGGGTGCGCGCACCGTGCGCCAGCCAAAGCAGGGCGAGGCATTGCCTCACTTGGGAAGCGCAAGGGGTCAGGGAGTTCCCTTTCCGAGTCGAAGAAAGGGGTGACGGAGGGCACCTGGAAAATCGGGTCACTCCCACCCGAATACTGGGCTTTTCCGACGGGCTTAAAAAACGGTGCACCACGAGATTATATCCCGCACCTGGCTTGGAGGGTCCTACCCCACGGAGTCTCGCTGGTTGCTAGCACAGCAGTCTGAGATCAAACTGCAAGGCGGCAGCGAGGCTGGGGGAGGGGCGCCCGCCATTGCCCAGGCTTGCTTAGGTAAACAAAGCAGCCGGGAAGCTCGAACTGGGTGGAGCCCACCACAGCTCAAGGAGGCCTGCCTGCCTCTGTAGGCTCCACCTCTGGGGGCAGGGCACAGACAAACAAAAAGACAACAGTAACCTCTGCAGACTTAAATGTCCCTGTCTGACAGCTTTGAAGAGAGCAGTGGTTCTCCCAGCATGCGGCTGGAGATCTGAGAACGGGCAGACTGCCTCCTCAAGTGGGTCCCTGACCCCTGACCCCTGAGCAGCCTAACTGGGAGGCACCCCCCAGCAGGGGCACACTGACACCTCACACGGCAGGGTATTCCAACAGACCTGCAGCTGAGGGTCCTGTCTGTTAGAAGGAAAACTAACAAACAGAAAGGACATCCACACCAAAAACCCATCTGTACATCACCATCATCAAAGACCAAAAGTAGATAAAACCACAAAGATGGGGAAAAAACAGAACAGAAAAACTGGAAACTCTAAAAAGCAGAGCGCCTCTCCTCCTCCAAAGGAATGCAGTTCCTCACCGGCAACGGAACAAAGCTGGATGGAGAATGACTTTGACGAGCTGAGAGAAGAAGGCTTCAGATGATCAAATTACTCTGAGCTACAGGAGGACATTCAAACCAAAGGGAAAGAAGTTGAAAACTTGGAAGAAAATTTAGAAGAATGCATAACTAGAATAACCAATACAGAGAAGTGCTTAAAGGAGCTGATGGAGCTGAAAACCAAGGCTCGAGATCTACGTGAAGAATGCAGAAGCCTCAGGAGCTGATGCGATCAACTGGAAGAAAGGGTATCAGCGATGGAAGATGAAATGAATGAAATGAAGCGAGAAGGGAAGTTTAGAGAAAAAAGAATAAAAAGAAATGAGCAAAGCCTCCAAGAAATATGGGACTATGTGAAAAGACCAAATCTACGTCTGATTGGTGTACCTGAAAGTGATGGGGAAAATAGAACCAAGTTGGAAAACACTCTGCAGGATATTATCCAGGAGAACTTCCCCAATCTAGCAAGGCAGGCCAACGTTCAGATTCAGGAAATACAGAGAACGCCACAAAGATACTCCCCGAGAAGAGCAACTCCAAGACACATAATTCTCAGATTCACCAAAGTTGAAATGAAGGAAGAAATGTTAAGGGCAGCCAGAGAGAAAGGTAGGGTTACCCTCAAAGGGAAGCCCATCAGACTAACAGCGGATCTCTCGGCAGAAACCCTACAAGCCAGAAGAGAGTGGGGGCCAATATTCAACATTCTTAAAGACAAGAATTTTCAACCCAGAATTTCATATCCAGCCAAACTAAGCTTCATAAGCAAAGGAGAAATAAAATACTTTACAGACAAGCAAATGCTGAGAGATTTTGTCACCACCAGGCCTGCCCTAAAAGAGCTCCTGAAGGAAGCGCTAAACATGGAAAGGAACAACCGGTACCAGCCGCTGCAAAATCATGCCAAAATGTAAAGACCATCAAGACTAGGAAGAAACTGCATCAACTAACGAGCAAAATAACCAGCTAACATCATAATGACAGGATCAAATTCACACATAACAATATTAACTTTAAATGTAAATGGACTAAATGCTCCAATTAAAAGACACACACTGGCAAATTGGATAAAGAGTCAAGACCCATCAGTGTGCTGTATTCAGGAAACCCATCTCATGTGCAGAGACACACATAGGTTCAAAATAAAAGGATGGAGGAAGATCTACCAAGCCAATGGAAAACAAAAAAAGGCAGGGGTTGCAATACTAGTCTCTGATAAAACAGACTTTAAACCAACAAAGATCAAAAGAGACAAAGAAGGCCATTACATAATGGGAAAGGGATCAATTCAACATGAAGAGCTAACTATCCTAAATATATATGCACCCAATACAGGAGCACCAAGATTCATAAAGCAAGTCCTGAGTGACCTACAAAGAGACTTAGACTCCCACACATTAATAATGGGAGACTTTAACACCCCACTGTCAACATTAGACAGATCAATGAGACAGAAAGTCAACAAGGATACCCAGGAATTGAACTCAGCTCTGCACGGACCTAATAGACATCTACAGAACTCTCCACCCCAAATCAACAGAATATACATTTTTTTCAGCACCACACCACACCTATTCCAAAATTGACCACATACTTAGAAGTAAAGCTCTCCTCAGCAAATGTAAAAGAACAGAAATTATAACAAACTATCTCTCAGACCACAGTGCAATAAAACTAGAACTCAGGATTAAGAACTTCACTCAAAACCACTCAACTACATGGAAACTGAACAACCTGCTCCTGAATGACTACTGGGTACATAACGAAATGAAGGCAGAAATAAAGATGTTCTTTGAAACCAATGAGAACAAAGACACAACATACCAGAATCTCTGGGACACATTCAAAGCAGTGTGTACAGGGAAATTTATAGCACTAAATGCCCACAAGAGAAAGCAGGAAAGATCCAAAATTGACACCCTAACATCACAATTAAAAGAACTAGAAAAGCAAGAGCAAACACATTCAAAAGCTAGCAGAAGGCAAGAAATAACTAAAATCAGAGCAGAACTGAAGGAAATAGAGACACAAAAAACCCTTCAAAAAATTAATGAATCCAGGAGCTGGTTTTTTGAAAGGATCAACAAAATTGATAGACCGCTAGCAAGACTAATAAAGAAAAAAAGAGAGAAGAATCAAATAGACGCAATAAAAAATGATAAAGGGGATATCACCACCGATCCCACAGAAATACAAACTACCATCAGAGAATACTACAAACACCTCTACGCAAATAAACTAGAAAATCTAGAAGAAATGGATAAATTCCTTGACATATACACTCTCCCAAGACTAAACCAGGAAGAATTTGAATCTCTGAATAGACCAATAACAGGAGCTGAAATTGTGGCAATAATCAATAGCTTACCAACGAAAAAGAGTCCAGGACCAGATGGATTCACAGCCGAATTCTACCAGAGGTACAAGGAGGAACTGGTACCATTACTTCTGAAACTATTCTAATCAATAGAAAAAGAGGGAATCCTCCCTAACTCATTTTATGAGGCCAGCATCATCCTGATACCAAAGCCGGGCAGAGACACAACCAAAAAAGTGAATTTTAGACCAACATCCTTGATGAACATTGATGCAAAAATCCTCTATAAAATACTGGCAAACCGAATCCAGCAGCACATCAAAAAGCTTATCCACCATGATCAAGTGGGCTTCATCCCTGGGATGCAAGGCTGGTTCAATATATGCAAATCAATAAATGTAATCCAGCATATAAACAGAATCAAAGACAAAAACCACATGATTATCTCAATAGATGCAGAAAAGGCCTTTGACAAAATTCAACAACCCTTCATGCTAAAAACTCTCAATAAATCAGGTATTGATGGGACGTATCTCAAAATCATAAGAGCTATCTATGCAAACCCACAGCCAATATCATACTGAATGGGCAAAAACTGGAAGCATTCCCTTTGAAAACTGGCACAAGACAGGGATGCCCTCTCTCACCACTCCTATTCAACATAGTGTTGGAAGTTCTGGCCAGGGCAATTAGGCAGGAGAAGGAAATAAAGGGTATTCAATTAGGAAAAGAGGAAGTCAAATTGTCCCTGTTTGCAGACGATATGATTGTTTATCTAGAAAACCCCATTGTCTCAGCCCAAAATCTCCTTAAGCTGATAAGCAACTTCAGCAAAGTCTCAGGATACAAAATCAATGTACAAAAATCACAAGCATTCTTATACACCAACAACAGACAAACAGCCAAATCATGAGTGAACTCCCATTCACAATTGCTTCAAAGAGAATAAAATACCTAGGAATCCAACTTCCAAGGGATGTGAAGGACCTCTTCCAGGAGAACTACAAACCACTGCTCAAGGAAATAAAAGAGGATACAAACAAATGGAAGAACATTCCATGCTCATGGGTAGGAAGAATCAATATCGTGAAAATGGCCATACTGCCCAAGGTAATTTACAGATTCAATGCCATCCCCATCAAGCTAAGAATGACTTTCTTCACAGAATTGGAAAAAACGACTTTAAAGCTCATATGGAACCAAAAAAGAGCCTGCATCGCCAAGTCAATCCTGAGCCAAAAGAACAAAGCTGGAGGCATCACACTACCTGACTTCAAACTATACTACAAGGCTACAGTAACCAAAACAGCATGGTACTGGTACCAAAACAGAGATATAGACCAATGGAACAGAACAGAGCCCTCAGAAATAACACCGCATATCTACAACTATCTGATCTTTGACAAACCTGAGAAAAACAAGCAATGGGGAAAGGATTCCCTATTTAATAAATGGTGCTGGGAAAACTGGCTAGCCATATGTAGAAAGCTGAAACTGGATCCCCTCCTTACACCTTATACAAAAATCAATTCAAGATGGATTAAAGACTTAAACGTTAGACCTAAAACCATAAAAACCCTAGAAGAAAACCTAGGCATTACCATTCAGGACATAGGCATGGGCAAGGACTTCATGTCTAAAACACCAAAAGCAATGGCAACAAAAGCCAAAATTGACAAATGGGACCTAATTAAACTAAAGAGCTTCTGCACAGCAAAAGAAACTACCATCAGAGTGAACAGGCAACCTACAAAATGGGAGAAAATTTTTGCAACCTACTCATCTGACAAAGGGCTAATATCCAGAATCTACAATGAACTCCAACAAATTTACAAGAAAAAAACAAACAACCCCAACAAAAAGTGCGCAAAGGACATGAACAGACACTTCTCAAAAGAAGACATTTATGCAGCCAAAAAACACATGAAAAAATGCTCATCATCACTGGCCATCAGAGAAATGCCAATCAAAACCACAATGAGATACCATCTCACACCAGTTAGAATGGCGATCATTAAAAAGTCAGGAAACAACAGGTGCTGGAGAGGATGTGGAGAAATAGGAACACTTTTACACTGCTGGTGGGACTGTAAACTAGTTCAACCATTGTGGAAGTCAGTGTGGCGATTCCTCAGGGATCTAGAACTAGCAATAACATTTGACCCAGCCATCCCATTACTGGGTATATACCCAAAGGACTATAAATCATGCTGCTATAAAGACACATGCACACGTATGTTTATTGCGGCATTATTCACAATAGCAAAGACTTGGAACCAAGCCAAATGTCCAACAATGATAGACTGGATTAAGAAAATGTGGCACATATACACCATGGAATACTATGCAGCCATAAAAAATGATGAGTTCATGTCCTTTGTAGGGACATGGATGAAATTGGAAATCATCATTCTCAGTAAACTATCACAATAACAAAAAACCAAACACTGCATATTCTCACTCGTAGGTGGGAACTGAACAATGAGAACACATGGACACAGGAAGGGGAACATCACACTCTGGGGACTGTTGTGGGGTCAGGGGCGGGGGGAGAGATAGCATTGGGAGATATACCTAATGCTAGATGACGAGTTAGTGGGTGCAGTGCACCAGCATGGCACATGTATACATATGTAACTAACCTGCACATTGTGCACATGTACCCTAAAACTTAAAGTACAATAATAATAAAAAAAAAATAAAAATAAAATAAAATAGCGTCCTGATGTTCTGCTCTTTTCCTTTATCTTGTTTTATTTTCCTTACAGTAGTTCTTTGAGAGATAGTAACTCACGATAGAGAAACATGGTCTTTGGGATCAGAACGTCTGGATTATAATCCCATCTCTGTTATTTAGCATCTGTTGCATTGGACAAGTTACTTAACCTGCCTAAGCTTCATTTTTCTCATTGATAAGTTGCAGTTAATAGCTTCCAATCTATAGACTGTGATGAATAAATGGGTTGACATTTGTAAAATGCTTAGAATGTTGCTTGGTATGTAGCAATAATTCAGGAAAGATTAACTATCAGAGCACTTAATACCATCTGAAATTATGCCATTGATATAGTTTGAATATTTGTCCCCTCAAATCTCAGGTTGAACTGTTATCCCCAGTGTTGGAGGTGGGGCCTGGCAGGAAGTGTTTGGGTCATGGGGGCAGACCCTTCATTGCTTGGTGCTGTTCTTGCAATGGTGAGTGACTTCTTGTGAGATCTGATTGTTTAAAAGTATGTGATGCCTCTCCTCTTCTTGCTCCCATACTGGCCACGTGAGACACTTGCTCCCCCTTGTCTTTCACCACGACTGTAAGTTTTCTGAGGCCTCCCCAGAAACCGAGCAGATGCCAGCACCATGTTTGCTGCACAGCCTGCAAAACCGTGAGCCAGTTTAACCTATTTTCTTCCTTTTTTTTTTTTTTGAAAAGGAGTTTCACTCTTGTTGCCCAAGCTGGAGTGCAATGGCACAATCTTGGCTCACTGCAACCTCTGCCTCCTGGGTTCAAGTGATTCTTCTGCCTCAGCCTCCCGAGTAGCTGGGATTAGAGGCATGCACCACCACGCCTGGCTAATTTTTTGTATTTTTAGTAGAAACAGGGTTTCAACATGTTACCCGGGCTTGTCTCAAACTCCTGACCTCAGGTGATCTGCCTGCCTCAGCCTCCCAAAGTGCTGGGATTATAGGTGTGAGCCACCGCACTTGGCCCCTATTTTCTTTGTAAATTACCCAGCCTCAAGTATTTCTTTACAGCAACACAAGAAATATACAAATGACAATATGCAGCCATTTGTATATTGTCTGCATCCCAAATTCAATGTAAACTTCACGAATATAAAGATTTACCTGCATTATTCTCACTGTATTTCTAACATCTGACATGACAGGCACATTAAATGAATTAAAAGACAAAGCAAAAGAAAATAATCACCTCCCCTCTTTTCCCAATCAGTTTAAAAGCATTAAGAGATTATAACCTGTCACCTGCCCTTCGCATTATACTGTGACTTACCTAAGGGTATGTAATCAGTAGATTCAAGATGGTTAGAATCCTTGCACAATACTGGTTTCCGGAGGTGAGAGTTGGTAAAAATCTTTAATCCTGTTGCCTTTCAAGATAAAATCAATTTTAGATCACATAACAACATAGACTAGCAGTCTGGACTGGTTTTTTGTTCTATGTATATTTTCAATTTCCACTTATTTATTTCTCCATCTCTAATTGTCATATATTTAGAGATACTTCACTGACATTTCCTAAATTCCATGTCTTTGAGTTCCTTAGTTTCTCTAATTCTAATGGCTTTTGCTCTATTTTCCTAATTAAGAGCTGTTGATGAAAACCTTTAAATAAGAGAGGACAAAAAAAGACATCTCATATCATACCCCACTGTACTTTCACTACTTTGAATTTGGCATTTTTGTTGAACTAGGGATATTATCTCACTTATAAACACTTTAAATATAGTAGAATACTTTAAAATAGTAGAAATCAAATTCGAGGGTAGACGTAGGAGCAAAATGGGGATTTATATTAGACACCAGTATATAATGTACATAATATTATGTCAGGAAAGCTGATAATTCCCTCACATATTAGTTCTTTTCCTAATATTATAATATTATTAGTTATTTAAAATATTATTATAGTTTTATAATGAAGTTCTAATAACCTTATAACTTAACCTTATTATAACATTATAATAACCTTATAACTTTATAATTATAACTTTATAACTTTTAAATAAAATTATATTAATACAACTTTTAAAAATATATTATAACTATAATTTATTGTAACTATATAGAATAACTATTATAGCTTTATAATATTATAACTATTATATAATTATAACTATAAGAACTTTATTAAGTCTTTTTGCTATTATAACATTATTTGAGATATTATTTCTCAGACATTAGTACTAATTGTAAATTTGTACTCTAAGAATTCTGAGATTAAAAACCCACACCATGAATATTTCTATTTATTTATATATTGTCACATATATTCACCATTTTAAGACTTAGTTGCCTTACCTTCACAAGGTCATAGCCATCTTTTCCAAAGTCAGCCCATGCAGGTGTGTAATAAATTCCATTGTAAAGGATATGTCCATCTTCAAGACACGGCACTTTAAGGCCATCTTCTAAGTTAAGTCCTCTGAAATAATAGCCATGTAGTTCGCTGGAATGTAGCTGACTATACACCTAGATGTTAGAAGAGAATCAACTGTATTTTTTCATAGAAAACAATTCATTTTTCCCCACAAGCAGTATATAAATAACCTATATAATCCTATGAATATCCTGTGTAGAACTGTCATCATACCTATACCAAATAAACACATATTGAGAAAGTATAGGATCTTAGATCTGTAAAAACTTTGAAATACTATTTAATCAGTTAAATAACTGCTGGCTAAATCACATTAAAACTAACAAAAAGTCCATGAGGCTCAACTGGATTTTAATACATTCCAGATAAAGGCACTGCTCAATACTCTTTGAGGACTCATTCAAGGACATTGTTAGAGAATGTTCTCGGTTAATTTACTAAATCTCCCTGAGCCTAAGATTAGACATTAATCAAAATGGGAATACTGCATTAGTTCTATAGGGTTGATTAATATGAGAATAAAATTAAATAATAGATATGGGAATACTCAGTAGAGCAAGTGTCAAATAGTAGACCTTTAGCAATTGTTATTTATTTTTAAAAGTGTTGCTCATTTTTTCCATAAGAGAATCAGTATAATTGGAGTAGAGTCATTGTACATGATTTCTAACCTAAAATATTTTTTATGCCTGGAACTCTGGACAATTTTTTTCTCCTCTAGTTTATTTAAGGTATCCTGTTTTTATCCAAAGGTAAAGACATAAAACTATACTGTGGGTGGTAAACAAAGATGGTTTTAATCACTCACAGTTTGTGCTGGCAGCTGACCATAATTCCTTAGTAGCAATACCCTCTGGTCTACCGCCCAAAGAGCATAAAGAGAGTTTGAAGCAGCCGAGACTTGAAGATCGACATTGGATCCTGGTAAACTTTTTTCTTTAGAAAAATTTAAGTTGACCTGAAAATGAAAATAAAAGGGCAAAAGGATGGCAAGCCATATGAGAAGAATCATCTTTTAGACTATTCTTAACTTTTTTAAAAACACACATAAGTTAAAAGGGCTTTCTGTGCTTTACCCACCTAATAATATTATTATTAGGAACAACTGGATTTGGAACAACATCCAAAGTGAATGCTATAATCCTGCTACTCTTCAATCATCCAACATATTAACTTCTCCATAGCTTTCTTTTATTTTTCATTTTGCAATTCTATGAAAAATTGGGAGTTTAAACCCAACACTCTCTTAAGTTCTCCTTAGTTTTCCCCCAAATTAAAAAAGAATCATTTTTGGCACCTACCTGATTTTCGAAGCATTTCTCAATTGGAATTGGGTGCTATCAGTGACCATTTCTCCTCCAGGATGCAAGCTATAGACAAGCATATGTACTGAGGGCGCTAATTCAGGGTTAATGTCTATAGAAATGGAAAATATGCCCTTCCTCCCTGTGAAAAGAAAATTTCAAACCGAAAAAGTGCTTTGGTGAGATAGCTGACTGTCATCTTGCAGAAACCCTCCATTGAGTTTCTAGCCATCCTACCCACTGCCAAAGAGACTGCCCCGACCCACCAAATTTAATTTATAAAGCATTTCTAGGAGGAGTTCATAACCTATTCCATAAATTATAAAAGAAAGAAATAGTTGAACATTTCTTATTACGTCAAACTTCAGTCTACTTTTGTTTCTTTTTAAAAATCCCTTCTTGTTTGAATGTAAAAGTACTTACCTGTCTTTCTTGGAAAAGAAAGGGAAGGACAATGACCCTTTCCCATTATAGTAGTGTTTGGAATATAATTAATGCACTATTAATTAAGTAATTATTTTTTCATTTGGCATTGTGCCTATTCACATGTCTTTACATGTTCCCCAAGGGTAGTTTAGGGGGCAGTAAACAGTCCTAAAATGGGAGGATTGTGACTTTTAAAGAAAAATGTAAAATATATCCCAATTAAAGCATTCTATTTGTATTAAATTATATGCTAAAATTAGAGGCCTCACCATTTTCGTTGATCTCAATTTTCTGTTGCCCATGAAGAATGATTACACCTTTTGAAATCACCTAGGAAAATGAAAATATAATCGTAAAGTTTAGAGGATAGAAACTAAATTTCATTTAATTATAAACGAATGTGATTTACCTCCTTTTCTTGTCTGAGCAATACTATTGACATGTTTACTAGTAAACTCAGGTTACCAGTAAACAAGCATATGACTCTAACAGCTATATTCAAGAGAATTTAGGAGTCACAGATAAACTTGCTATAAAGCAATTTAATGTTCCACATTCCAAAACAGTTTTCTAAGACCAATAAACAACTTTTTATTCATATTTGCAAATGCTGAATTACATCTAAATTTATTTAGTTCAGTGAAACAAAGTTACACAAAGGCATTAAGAGTCTCCCAGTGCTTGTCTGGTTTTCTGAAAGGTGTGTTTGATATGCAAGGTATAAGCAAGGCCTGTTCATCCATCTCCACCCAAAATTTAAAGAAAAGAAAATAAAGTAGCAAGCTGGGGGTGCTCCAGAAAAAAGCTTCTCTCACTTCACCTTTATCAGCAACTGTGTGCAAATTTGCATCAGCAGACTTTTGTTATGATCTCTAAAGTGCAAACAAAGGCTGGAGACTTGAAATCTAGTACAAACTCCTTGAATTTTTAAATTACAGTTTTAGAATATTATTTTAAAAGATGCTGAGACTTG
The DNA here is from genome assembly GCF_000001405.40 of Homo sapiens. Taxonomy (NCBI): domain Eukaryota; kingdom Metazoa; phylum Chordata; class Mammalia; order Primates; family Hominidae; genus Homo; species Homo sapiens. Next base: position 31,174,218 of record NC_000012.12, read on the forward strand.
CAGAAAATTTAAAGCTTCCGTAAGATCTTGCAGCTTGAAATTGCAGGAGCTGGTACTCCTAGTCCGTTTAATATTTCACTGAATATTAAAATTGCTTTAAATCTCTGAAGTGCCAAGTTTGGGTTATTAGCTCATAAAAAAAGAACTGAGCCTCAACTAGCTGGAAAATATTGTTTTGGGAACTAGAACATTTGCAAAAAGGCATAAAGCTCAAAGTTTAATGAGCCTGAGAGGTCTCAGCACTGTTGGCTGTAGTAGCTCACTGACTTCTCAAAATGGAAAGACAGCTCTCGTAACAGATGAGTAAACTGAAGAGGCACACAGAGGTACTGATATTTGTCAGGTCACACAATTAAGAAAAAAGCTTAAAAGACTGAGTATCAAATTAATTACTGAAAGCCTGAGAATCAAATTAATTCAGCCTCTATCCATTCATTCTAAAATATGATATTGAGGGTTCTCTCTGTGATGTGTACCCTGCTAGGCAGAATTAAAGTCCACCCAGCCTATTATGAAAGAATATGTAGAAGACTGGAATTGTCTAGGAGATTAGAAAGTTTCATTTAAGCCAAGAGATGAATGCTGAGGAGGAATCAGCTCGGAAAATGAGGTGCAGGCAGGTTGGGAACTGTGGTAGCAAATGGGAACGAAGATTGTTATGGGCAGAAGGGAAAACCTGTGGGAGGCTTCGGAGCCAGAAAAGCACATGGCTTGTCCAAGAAAATGAAAGCCCTCTGTGTCTGCAATAAAGAAGGCTGAAGTGTAGAATGATGCAAAATGAAGCGGGCGAGCTTCACAGGTGCAGAGCAGATACAGTGTTGCAGGCAAAAGAAAGGAGTCTGGTATTTGTTTCAATAGAAATAGGCAGTCATTAACTGTATTTCAATTAGGGGAGTGAAATAAATAATCCTAATTGCTTTTTTTAAAAATCACTCTAGATTTCCAGAATAAAGAAAGAAAGAAGAAAAGGAGGGAGGAAGGAAGAAGGGAGAGAGGAAGAAAAAGGCTATTAGCAGACTCATTTAAAATGGAAATGAGGTAAAGTAATTGTAAAGGCCTTATCAGATCAGAGGGGGGCAAACCTACGCTATTTCAAGAGGGAAGCTGATGACAAGTAGATCAATTCACACCACAGACCTGCAAAATGGCTCAGCTCTGGATTAGGAAGTATTGGATATTAAGTCGAGCAGAGGTGTGGCCAGAAAAGAAGGCAAAAGTCAGGGGCATGTGGGAGTGTCTTTATAAAAACTAGTTAAGAGGTTCAGCTTCCCTGTAATCCCGGTACTTTGGGAGGCCGAGGCGGGCAGATCACGAGGTCAGGAGATCGCGACCATCCTGGCTAACACGGTGAAACCCCGTCTCTACTAAAAAAATACAAAAAAATTAGCCGGGCGTGGTGGCGGGCGCCTGTAGTCCCAGCTACTCGGGAGGCCGAGGCAGGAGCATGCCGTGAACCCAGGACGCGGAGCTTTCAGTGAGCGGAGATCGAGCCACTGCACTCCAGCCTGGGCGACTGAGCGAGGCTCTGTCTCAAAAAAAAAAAAAAAAAAAAGAGGTTCAGCTTCTCATTCAAGGATGCTTGGTATTTCTCACACCCCAGTATGGCAATATTATTGTTGACATGTTGAAGGATTTCTGTACCGGTTGGTAAAGAGCCACTTCCCTGAGCTCCCCAGAGTCCCCTCCCTGCTTCCCTAGAACCTCTCCTCCACAACCAGCTCCTCCCACTCCCACCACTTTGCCCCCAGTCTAAATGAGCCATGCTTGGCTTAGCTAAGGGCTTCAGTGGAATTATCACTCATACCTTTTCTGATGGTTTGGTGTCCATACCTTGCTGGTTTGAAATATTTTAATGTTTGTGGAAATGATGAAGGAAAGAAAAAATGCGAGAGATAATATAATGAAAAAGTGATAGAAATTGGTGATGCAGTAAATAGCACGAAAAAAAGAAGTATCAAAAGACTATTCCAGAATTCTAAGTTTGCAAAATGTGAGAAATCATGTGGTACTACTTTCATTCTTCACATAGATAGACTCAAACACCTTTAGTTCTCAGAATAATACACTTCAGACATCTTTGACCTCTTATATTATTTCCTAAAATAAGCTTAAATGTGTTTCTCATATCCTCTAATCATCCAGAAAACTCCTATTCATCCCACAAAATCCTATTTAGGCATATTCTCTTTATGTATTTTTTCCTTAAAAATATGTATATACATATAAATGTAAATATATAGGCATATATCTTTTTCCTAAACTAGTGGTTGTCAAATTTTAATGTGCTTCGGAGGACAAGATTTCTAACTTATTCCTATGTTTTTTTTTTTTTTTTTTTTTTTTTTTTTTGAGACAGAGTCTTGCTCTGTCACCCAGGTTGGAGTGCAGTGGCACCATCACGGCTCACTGCAAGCTCCGCCTGCTGGGTTCACACCATTCTCCTGCCTCAGCCTCCTGAGTAGCTGGGACTACAGGCGCCCGCCACCATGCCAGGCTGATTTCTTTTTGTATTTTTAGTGGAGACGCGGTTTCACCGTGTTAGCCAGGATGGTCTGGATCTCCTGACCTCGTGATCCGCCCATCTCGGCCCCCCAAAGTGCTGGGATTACAGGCGTGAGCCCCTGCGCCTGGCCACTTATTCCCAGAATTTCTAAATTATTCCTAGGTGATGCTGATACTGCTACTCTAGGAAATATACTCTGATAATCACTGTCCTAAACTCCAGCTAGAGTTAATCATTCATTTTTCTGTAACACCTCAGTGGCCATACATGTTTCGTTTGTAACACTTATGTAATTCTAATATATGTTTTGTCCCCAGTTATACTTTTTCTATTTCTTCTATTGTTACAATTGCTAATACAGCACCTGGAATATGAAAAACATTCAATAAGTGTTGGCTGATTGAATTAATTCATGTTTCATTAATTTTATATCATCTTCCTAAATCTCAATGAAGTATCATGCACCCATTTAGACAGTGTAAAATAATCCATAATAGCAATATATTAAAATCAAACTAATACTTAATATCTTTTGTGTGCCAGAAGTTGGGCAAAGGGCTTTATATGTATTATTAAATAATTATCTTGATGATTAGACAATATATTACAAAAAACTAAGATTCTCTAGAGGTTTAAGTGGCTTTCAAAAAGTAACACAAAGCTAGTACATATCAGAACTCTGGTTTGATCCCAGCAATGTCCAAATAGAAATGGGTAACTCTGAAGAAAGGGTCTGAGAATGACAGAGTGCATATGGGTTGTGGTGTCATGGCCTTTTCCCTCCTTTCTTAAAAATAGATACCAGTTATATAAGTTTTATCATTTATGTTAACTTTGAGCTTCCTCGTGGCATATAGGTACAGGGATTTCATTAGGTTCAAAGAAGTTTTAAAGAAAAGAAGCAATTTTGATTGTGGAAGAATATTTTCAGCTCATACCAAATAATTGAAGTCTGCTGTGTAGGTTTTGTCTTCAAAGTCTTCCATATTGAGAATGCAGTGCACTAGCACCCTCTTCTGCTGGTTGCATCTCAGTTCTTCCATCTCTTGGACAATCTTTAGGAAGCTATTCATCTTGGAGTAAAATCGATATGCAAAGTACTCGGGCTGAGGGTATTGAGGCAACACCCAGCCATGAGCCTGGCAATTTTCATTGGCCTTGTAGGCTGCCTAGACAAAAAATCAAAATTACGGGTATTTTAGGATAAAGAGAAAGGATGAGTGAAAGAATATTTGATAAGATGGTTTATCATCATGCTGCTTTATCTCTGCAAGAAAATTTTATAGCCATTCTACATTAAATCTAACCCAATTCCCCATTTTCTAGTTATACTCTAGAGCGACCACTATGGTTTTTACAATTTAGTCTATTCAAGTCCTACTTCAATAATATTACATTCAATATTTTACTGTATTCTTTACTATAATTATTACTTTTGCTAGCAAGTAGATTGCTATATCTCCCTCACTATAATACGAAGAACCCATGAGTGCAAACGTTTACCTTGCTACTGATAACATAATATGAAGTTTTGCTGAAAGATGGGAAAGTTTTTATGAAATACAGCAAGGAGTTTACTCTGACCATAGTAATTTACCATTATCAACACAAAAAGTCTGAGGAGTCCTTTAAAAATATCTAGGAAGGATTGATATTTAATTATTACAGATAGTAGTTTACTTCTCTCTTGAATATATCCAGAGAAATTCTTTACATTATTCCAAGGTAATAGATTACAGGGTTTCTCAAATATTTCCTTCTATAAAAACACAATTCTCTTTCTATTTCCTTAATAAAAGTGAAGCGTTGCTTATTTTCAGCTAATTCTCCTTTATACAATTTAGTATGTATGCTAACCTTCTGTCTTTTCCCGGGACTCTTAAAATAATTTTTAACCTACTTTTCATAGGGCCTATATTCTTAATATTTAACTATTTTTCAGTACTCTAGATTCACACCAAGGTGTATCTTTTCATTTCTGTTCCATAAATATAATTTCGCATAGACCTAAACCTTAGCTAGCCAGTGCAGTTTTTTGTTTGCTTGTTTGTTTTTATTTTACTTGCCTTTCGTTTAACTTACTTTCAAAGTGATATTTGGGTATGTAAACGTATATGTGTCCAAGAAAAACTGAGCGATGCCATTTACATCTGTGGTGTAGTTTCCCACGATTTTGTCCTTCAGATGCAACTGAACAACTTCATTTGGGATTGGAGAGTTGTCTGGATTAAGCAATTTAATCTGTACAAGAGGAAGAAAATACATTTCGGAAGCATGTAGTAAATTTGGGCATCCATTTTGATGGCATTTGCCAAGCTTCTATCATGGGGACCCCTGCTCTCCTTGGTGCGTATGCACTTCCTGTGTGGTTTCATCTATTCCTGTTGAGTGTATGACATGTACCATTAATATACTAATGAGCCTAAACTCTGTTTCTCCTGCCCACGAAGATCTCTGAAAACTCAGGCCCATAGAATTAACCATCCTGAGTATTTTTTATAATAAAAATGCTACAGAAACTCTCAAATTGGAATGATTTATTACTGTGCCCAACCTTCCTTTTTTTCTATTTCTCTTATTTATCTCAAAGAATACCTCAACCATTCACTTAGTCACTGAAGTCAAATATCTAGAGACATCTTAGACTTTTTATTTTTCTTCTCCCATAATTTTCAATTGTTGATCAAATATTTTCAATTGTATCTTTTTAACATTTTCTGTTTCCAACTGATCACGTTTGTTCCTGTTGCTATTCCTTGTATCAATATCTTATCTTTTTTCCCTCATACGTCTTCTATTTTTTTCTATCCAGTCTCTCTCTCCTGTATTGCTTTTGCTTGTTCTTTCTCTATACTGGCATCAAACCAAATTTTCTAAAATGCAAAATTTAGCATTATCCTCCCTAAAACATTGTAGTGACTGCTCTGATAGGCCATGGTTATTCGCTAGAAATCTCTTTCTCATTCTCTTACTAGTACAGGCAATGATTGCTTTAAAAAGTCCCTTCTGAAATTGTATGATTTGTAGTAGATACAATGCCTGCATCAGTATCTATGCCAGTTTGAAGCCTTTAAAGGCACCTTCTTAACAACATCTAAGGCCACAACAACCAGAAGAACTGTCTGAGCCATCCTTTTTTTAGCTCAGTCAGTTTCTGCAAAACAACTTCTGCTTTGAGCCTTTCATCTTATTTCTGCCACTTATCATTTTCCTGCTGGTCCAAGCAAACACAATCCTTTTTTCTTGCTCAGCATCTGTAGACTGATGCCTCATTTGCACCATCTACACAGATTTTGAACTTAGTTTCATCTCAAGGCTTGATCTTCTAAGAAAAATTCAACTTGTCTCAGCAATCCACAGGCCACAGACACGTGACACCATGCCTTTATGATCACACAGAGGTTTGCCCTAATTTTAGTACACCTAGACTAGAAAGATCCTTTGAGTCCCTTCCAGTCACAGAAAGATGAACAAGCCATGTGATTTCTGGGCACTTTCCTTTCTTTCTTTTTTTTTTTTTTTGTTTTATTTTTATTTTTTTTATTGATCATTCTTGGGTGTTTCTCGCAGAGGGGGATTTGGCAGGGTCACAGGACAATAGTGGAGGGAAGGTCAGCAGATAAACAAGTGAACAAAGGTCTCTGGTTTTCCTAGGCAGAGGACCCTGCGGCCTTCCTTAGTGTTTGTGTCCCTGGGTACTTGAGATTAGGGAGTGGTGATGACTCTTAAGGAGCACGCTGCCTTCAAGCATCTGTTTAACAAAGCACATCTTGCACCGCCCTTAATCCATTCAACCCTGAGTGGATACAGCACATGTTTCAGAGAGCACAGGGTTGGGGGTAAGGTCACCGATCAACAGGATCCCAAGGCAGAAGAATTTTTCTTAGTACAGAACAAAATGAAAAGTCTCCCATGTCTACCTCTTTCTACACAGACATGGCAACCATCCGATTTCTCAATCTTTTCCCCACCTTTCCCCCCTTTCTATTCTACAAAACCGCCATTGTCATCCTGGCCCGTTCTCAATGAGCTGTTGGGTACACCTCCCAGACGGGGTGGTGGCCGGGCAGAGGGGCTCCTCACTTCCCAGTAGGGGCGGCCGGGCAGAGGCGCCCCTCACCTCCCGGACGGGGCTCTGATGTTAGGGCTTAAATTGATTTATATTTCAAAGAATTCCCTAATAGATTCTATAGTAGCACTGAAGAGTATTCTATTGTAAAACTCAGAGGAAAGCAAATGTAATTTTCTTTGAACATGAAAAAGAAAGCAACTTTGAGAGTAGTCATTTAGCAGTAGATGTGCATTATTATGAGAAAACAGTTCTATAAATTCAGGGTTAATTCTATTAATTGGAATGTCGGTCTCTAATGTCTAGCTTATTATAGGGTAGAAAAGAGCTTTCTACTCAGCTAATCATTAATCATTGATCCAAAACTTAAATACATCTATCATTTCCTGGGGCTATTGTGAGTACTGTATATGTATTTAGCAAATATTTAAGACCTAGTAAGTGCTCAATAAATTGTAGCTGTTACTACAAAAGAAAAAATTACTTTTTAAAAAAATATACAACCATAATCACACATACTAGAGAAGAAAACTTAAAACTCTAAGTAATTCTTAGGTAAAAATAAAAATAAAAATAATGAAATCATCAAAAATGATTTTAATTGAACTTAAAAATTGTTAAGATGGTAAATTTGATATGTGCATTTTTTCATAATTTAAAAAATAAAAATAGTATAGAAAAACACCTGTGAGGAGGAAAGAAGTATTCAGGAAAAATTGTATAAATCTGAAAACATGGAAGTTTAACATAAGTATTTATAACAAGATGCTAGAAAAAAAAAACCAAAAGAGGTAGAAGAAAAAATATAATAAAAATAAATGATGTAATGAAAATCATTTAAAATAACATTAAAAATAAAGATAATTAACAAATCCAAAAACTAATGGGAAAAAAACACAAACACAACTAGTAATAAAAAAGGGGAAATAAATTATGATAGATTTATTTTTTCAAATCATAAGTGAACATATTTTATGCCCTCTATTTTAAAACCTAAATTTAATAAGAAATATCTAGATACAGAAACTAACATATTATAGAAAATTCTTAGTGAACTAAAAAAGGAAAATTTTTTGACTCGATAAAGTATGTCTCACAAAATGCTACAGTTACTTAGTAGGTTTACGCATTACATTTTTAAAAGCATTCCCCAAAATATGCAAAATACAACCAGGAAGTCCACTATCATCTCTAATATTCAAATTGGAGATCTTTGCCAATCGAATAAAACAAACTAATAACAAAAACCTCAGAAGATTAAGTTCAGAAAGGAAGCTAAAATATAACATTTTCACACAAAATGCTCTTTACACAGAAAACACTTTTAAATTGCACAGAAAAGATACAAGAGACAAATGGGAACCCAAGAAATCATCTTGGGTAACAACAACGTAAGAGGGAGGAAATGGAGAATTCTCAAGTCTAGATAAAATTATTTTATATTCAGAAAAAATTTTATATTCTTTGAAGATATCTCTCAGTTTTATATATTTAGTAACAGAACATGGAAATATATAAAGCAAAAATGTACAAAGTGAAGAGAAAGGTTAGAAAAAATTATGTTAACATTATCCACCACTATTCAGTAAGTGAAGTGAACATATATCAAATTTATCTATCTGCCAAAGCTGTATTTCAATCTAAATTTGTTCATTAAATGACTTTTACTGAAATTTGTTTCAGTAAGTCCTTTAGGTGATGCTGATGCCAGTTTGAGAAACTGCTTTGTAAGATGTAAGCCAGGCTACCCACTTTTGTATTTCTTTTTTAGTGTTCTTGTGTCAACCTAAATATTACTTCCTCAGGGAAACTTTCCATGATCATTTAGTCCAGATTTTAGCAAACTTCTTTTGTAAAACACCATGGTCTCTCTCTCATATATTTTTTTATTTTTTAAATAATCTTTTAAAAATGTTAAAACCACTCATAGTTCACTGGCTGTATCAAGGCAGGCCTCTGTCTGATTTGCCTATGGGCTGTGGTTTGTCAGCTCCTGATGTAGAGTAGTTAAATGGTCAGTATTTCACTGACATAGCACCTATCACAACTACAATAATTCTTTGTAAAATTATCTGTTTAATGTTTATTATCTCTATTACACTATAAACTCCATAAAAGCAGTGATAAAAGTGCCTCTCTACATCACCATTTTATTCCTAATACTGATATAGACTATATAATTTATTGTCCAAACTTGGACACTTTTAGAGTGAAGTGGTTGTAACTATTAACAGTTACAACTTGATAAAACATATACACCAGGACAGATCTATGAAAATCAACAGTGTAGGTCACCCTACAGTGCTTAGCACAGAGATTCCTACATAGTAATTTCTTAGGGAATAGCTGTTGGAAGATTAGTAGATAAATGAAAGAACAAATGAATGAATGAATAAGGTATGTAAAAAATGATTGCTTTCTAACCTGGCCAAAATAAGGGAGTCCCTGTTTGTAGGACATATCCATATTCTCAAAACTAATCTTCACCACTGATGAGTCTATGTATACGTACTTGGAGCCTGTAAGCTGCACACCTGCAGTCAATTAAGTATTATTGAGAAAATGTCACTTCCAAAAACAGACAAACAGAGCTTCTGAAAAAAACCACAAAAGCTCACCATTCCTTCTAATAGTTTCCCTTCCCTTTCCTAAGCAGTTTTAATATGTAGGTACTTCAGATGTCTTTTATAAAGAAAGTTAATCAAGATGGCACAAAATGCTTGTGCCAACTGGTGTTGCTGCTTTTTATAAAATATCCAATTCACTTACCATTTCTTCATGATGGATTAGTAAACGTTGATTTCTCATTATTCCTAAGTGATTGTTTAACAACATTTCTTTTACTCTCTGCTTGCCTAAAACATATGCTTTAATTTATTAATAGTAAGAATTGTAATATATGTGTATTATTAAAAATGGAAATGCTTAAAAAAGAAAATACAAATTACCAAATATCAGATATCTCCAAGAGAACCAAAATTAGCATTTTAGGCTTTTTCCCACAAGTTCTATTTCTCTTTATATTTATCATTTATATTAATATGTTTGAGATTGTGTGTGTATATGTGTACATGCACACATACACTCAATATGTGCAAATGTATATGTAGTTTTACATGTTTTTTATCATTATTTTATAAAGTTTTTGTAAAACCTTATAAAAACTTATTTTTAATTGCTACATTATTTCTCATATAAATATGGACATATGTTATCATGTAGCAAGCCCTTCCCTCCTTCCTTCCTGCCTTCCTTCCTTTCCTTCCTTCTCTTTCTTCCTTCCTTCCTTTCTTTCTTTTTCTTTCTTTCTCTCTCTTCCTTTCTTTCTCTCTCTTTCTCTCTCTCTCTCTTTCTCTCTCTCTTTCTTTTTCTTTTTTTTTTCTTGAGATAGGGTCTCATTCTGTTGCCCAGGCTGGAGTGCAGTGGTGCGATCATGGCTCACTGCAGCCCCAACCTCCTGGGCTCAAGTGATTCTCCCACCTTAGCCTCCTGAGTAGCTGGGATTACAGCTGCATGACACAACACCCAGCTAATTTTGTATTGTTTGTAGAGACGGGGTCTCACTATGTTGCCACCGAGGATGGTCTCAAACTCCTAGGCTCAAATAATTCTTCTGCCTCAGCCTCCCCAGGTGCTGGGGTTATAGGTGTGAGCCACTGTGCCTGGCTATTCTTTTATTATTTATTTAGTTCAGTATGACAAATATACCTAATTATCAATTAAATGTTTGTTTAATACTTGAATTTCCTCTGGATGTGACAGATACCTCTAAAACTTTGAAGACTGATATAAGTACATTAGTAATTTAATATTTCAGGAACAGAAATTTTGCTGAAATATCAGTTACATATGCGTAAGTTTAAAAGTACTACAGTAACACAAAGTGGTCAGCACAGAAAAAAGCATTTCAAGGATTAAGACTTACCATTTTGTGCTTTAGGAAGAAGGGGTATTAGGTCCAGGAGATACAAGAAATTAGTCATTAGAAATATTATTGGCCGGGCGAGGTGGCTCACGACTGTAATCCACGCACTTTGGGAGGCCGAGGCGGGAGGATCACCTGAGGTCAGGAGTTTGAGACTAGCCTGGACAACATGATGAAACCCCGTCTCTCTACTAAAAATGCAAAAACCTAGTCGGGCGTGATGGCGGGCGCCTGTAATCCCAGCTACTCGGGAGGCTGAGGCGGAAGAATCGCTTGAACCTGGCGGGCGGAGGTCGCAGTGAGCTAAGATTACGCCACCGCACTCTAGCCTGGGCAACAAGAGCGAAACTCCGAAAAAGAAAAAGAAGGAAGGGAGGAAGGGAGGGAGGGAGGGAGGGAGTGGGGAGGGAGACAGATTTTCCTGGATGAGATAAAGATTTTTCACTGGATTTATTTTCAGAGGCTTAGTAAAATATTCTCCCCAAACTATTTTACTTCCCATGTTCTAATTCTATGCTCACCAAAAAAATTTTATAATCGACAACTACATGTCTCAATTATATTTATCTGTGGAATGATTAAGGAAAAGGAATATGCTTATATCTAAAACCAGATACTCCCATTATAAATCAATAAATTGGCATTCTTACTTCTATTGTAGCCTTATTTGAATGTAACACTTGACCATCCATCAACATGTGTGTGAAAATTTTGGTTGATATATGAAACATTCAGAATTTGAATCAGATGAACCCAATGAAAAGCCCTCAGGGAAAAAATGATTGTATTGACATTGTATAGTTGGCAATCAGGTAACAATTCGAATGAGACAGTGATATCCATTGGGGTCTGGCTTCTTAGAGAGCATTACCTGTTCCGTCCTCTGTAACAAGAGCATGCACTTTGAGGAAACTCCAGTATCCTTCCCGATTTCACTCAAAAGCATCTGTGTTAATAAACTTGGAGACACAGCCATCTTTCCCCAACTGAAAAGAACAATAAAAAAAAGTTATATTGTAAAGGAAGACTGTAAGAAATAGCTATAATAGGGAAAATGTGTGACCTCACTGAAGCAACTTTAAGAATATTGTATTACCCAAGTTTTAGTTTTTTAAAATAATCCATTGTGTTTCTATAATTATATTTTCAGTTCATGTATTTACCTATAACTATTTATTTTTTAATAAATATTAACTCTTACAATATTGTGTTTTAAAAAACTCTTCATGGTGACATTATTTTGTTATTATACAAGATAATAAACACATCCATCACTAGTCACGTATTCACACATGATATTTGCAATTTTGGTAATTTCAGCCATATTCTTTTACAGTTTTGAAACTGAGTTTTATATTATTTAGTTACCATGCCTTGGACATTTATGGGACTATTTACACAGCAGTTAGGAACACAGGCTTTACAGTCAAACACCAGAATTTGAACCCTGGCTTTACCACTTATTACTTCATACAAAATGAAATCTTAATAAAGAGCTTGTAGAACTGTATTACATTAGACAATAACTGGAAAGTGTTTATTTAGCACAGGGCCTGGCACTTAGTAAACATTCAGTAGGTAGTAGATTTTTAAATTAGATTCCTTTACATTTCTCTCAGTGTCTAGTCAAGTGACAATGTCTCACTAAGTGAAATTTTTAAAGTGTCACAATTAGTAACCAAAATTAAACAGGATGAATTGTCAAATATTTTTAAAATGTGGGATAAATTGTGCTCATAGGTTCCTGGACTTTAATATTGGGGAAAAACTGATTTCTTATTCTACTCCTTCATCTTATGATGATATGAGGAAATCTAGTCCTCAAGATGTGGGTGAGATGTCAAAATCCTGTGCTACTTCAGGGGGTCCTTGAAACTATAAGAAGGTCTAGAACCATTTCCAGAAGCTTAAAGATCTAGAAAAATTTCCACTATACTAAAGGTGAATAATGAGATAAATTATTTAGTCCACACTCCTGCTTTACATGTGCATTTGATTATTTTAACTTTTATTTTAGGTTCAAGGGTGCCTGTGCAGGTTTGTTATATAGGTAAATTGTGTGTCATGGGGGTTTGGTGTACAGATTATTTCACTATCCAGGTAATAAGCATAGTATCCAATAGGTAGTTTTTTTGATCCTCACCCCTTCCCACCCTACATGTACATTTTAAATTTCCAGAGCTCTCAAATCTCCTGAAGGGCATCCTATAATATAGCCACCTTCGATAATGCATTCTGGGATCTACCTACCCTGTGCACTCGGCTTATATTGGTTTAGTCTCTTCTAGAGTGTGCATCTTTAAAGATTATGACTGCTTCATAAAGTGCAAAACCCATGAGGATAGTACCTGATCTGTCTTGCTCAACAATGAAGCTTCTAAATAAAATTATTCTTGCATATTAAAAGACCTCAATATTTATCTGTTGAATGAATTTGTGGAGAAAATTTTTGTATCCCTGATATCCCTAAAGATACAGCCCCACTAGTTATTTAAATATTTATATGACTTGGTTGGGGTGCAGTGGCTGACACCTGTAACCCCAGCACTTTGGGAGACCGAAGCGGGCAGATCACATGAGATCAGGAGTTCAAGACCAGGCTGGCCAACATGGTGAAACCCCGTCTCTATTAAAAATACAAAATTAGCTGGGCGTGGTGGTGCACGCCTGTAGTCCCAGCTTCTTGGGAGGTTGAGGCACGAGAATTGCTTGAACCCGGGAGGCAGAGGTTGCGGTAAGCCAATATCGCGCCACTGCACTCCAGCATGGGCGACACAGTGAGACTGTCTAAAAATATATATGTATTGACATGTATTTATGATCTAGTTTTGCTGCACCCATGATCTTGAGCAATGTATTTAACCTCTTTCTGCTTTAATCCACTCATCGGTAAGGGGGCGATAATAGTACCCCCTCATAGGGTACTATTTGTTTTGAGAATCAAATGCACATAAACTACTTAGCTCAGTGACTGACACAAAATAAGCATCCATTAAATGTTAGCAATTATTATTATTATAATTGTTACTATTGTTAGCGTTTATTGTCCACATTTTTTAAATTTAAGAATTAGAAGGTTCTTAATTATTTCCAACCTAAAGTATTCTCTAAACAGGACAGGAATATGTGACACTGTGTGTGTGCACCTGTGTGTGTGTGTGCACACATGTGTGTGGATAAATGGTATCACACTGTAGTATGGGGATTGCAGCTGGCAGTTGTATATTAGACAGTCAGATCTGGCATGATTATAGCTGAAAGCCTTGCTACATCCTAGACCAGCCTGTTTGTGTCCGTTTTCTGAATGTTGGTTCTCAAACCTTCCAAGTAGATCTTTTAGGAAATTCCTCCTTTGTCAGTTTGGAAAAGTTGATTCTTCTCTTTAGTGGTTAAGAACCTGACTGATAGGGTTCCCATCTGGAGCTCCTATATACACTTATTTCCAGTGAGAATAGGTTGAGAGGAAAATAATTATACATCTAATACTCTTGAATATGCAGAAACATCACATCTCCCTGACTAAATTCACAAAGTATAAAATAAAGAACAGGACATATGTTCCCAGTAAATTGATAGGGTGTAGATTTTGATATGAAACCAAATGTATTTTTAATTAAGAATCGAAATTTACTACTCAGTTTCTGATACTATAATTTGCTTTTTGTCAGTCAATAGAAAATGAAACTTAGCATGACAAAAGAGGAATATAAAATTTACAAATAGGAATAGAAATATAGAATAAAAGTATATATTTTAACTGTAAAGAGGAAAACAGGAAGAAAGGAAGGTAAATGGAAGGTGAGGATAAAAAGTTAATGGAAACCTATTTATAATTTTGCTGATATACCTCTTACCTGAATGGTAAAATTTTTACAGAGTGAACTGATAAGATGAGCACATGAATGATAAGCCGTAGATTCTCTGCACACACTAAGTTGGACCTTCCCGTCCACAGGTTCACCATAGGTATATCTAATAGAAGAATATAACAACAACACAATTACAGAGGTCAAGGTCGTTTTTAATCTGTATAGGGTTTTGAAACCTTTATTTAGTAGCTGAAACCAGCACTGTAACAACATTTAAATAGCTAGTTACCATAAATTTTATTTTCTGGAGGAAATCTAAAACAATGGTACGGACTAAAATTGAGCTGAATGCTTTAGGCAAAAATATATTTTAATTAAAAAGGTTGAAATAGGCATGTAGACGTTATATATCTAAGTCACTAAAATACAATGTAAACAAAAAAACAAAAAAATACATCAGTCATTATTTCATTAAAAATAATATTTTTTGCATACTGATAGCAATGGAGTATTGAAAAACAAAAAATGAAATAAAATAACATTTTGCTTCTTTTAGTTTTTTTGTTTTTAAACTGCTATTATGAGCATATTTTATGGTTTTTACTTTTAAAATGTAAATTATATTTATTTATTTATTTTTTATAAATGTCATTTTAAGTCATCAGATTTTGGGGTAATTTCTTTTTGTTTGTTTTGGAAAGAAGTAAAACTGTTCATTTTTTATTATTATATTTTAAGTTCTGGGATATATGTGCAGAAGGTGCAGGTTTGTTACATAGGTATACATGTGTTATGGTGGTTTGCTGCACCCATCAACCCATCATCTACATTAAGTATTTCTCTTAATGCTATCCCTCCCCTTGCCCCCAACCCCCGACAGGCCCCGGTGTGTGATGTTCCCCTCCCTGTGCCCATATGTTCTCATTGTTCAACTCCTACTTCTGAGTGAGAACATGTGGTGTTTGGTTTTCTGTTCCTGTGATAGTTTGCAGATAATGATGGTTTCCAGTTTCATCCATGTCCCTGCAAAGGACATGAACTCATTCTTTTTTATGGCTGCATAGTATTCCATGGTGTGTATGTGCCCCATTTTCTTTACCCAGTCTAACATTGATGGGCATTTGGATTGGTTCCAAGTCTTTGTTATTGTGAATAGTGCTGCAATAAACGTACGTGTGCAGGTGTCTTTATAGTAGAATGATTTATAATCCTTTGGGTATATACCCACTAATGCAATTGCTGGTCAAATGGTATTTCTGGTTCTAGATCTTTGAGGAATGGCCACTGTGTCTTCCACAGTGGTTGAACTAATTTACACTCCCAACAACAGTGTAAAAGCGTTCCTATTTCTCCACATCCTCTCCAGCATTTGTTGTTTACTGACTTTTTAATGATTGCCATTTTAACTGGCATGAGATGGTATCTCATTGTGGTTTTGATTTGGATTTCTCTAATGACCAGTGATGATGAGCTTTTTTTCATATGTTTGTTGGCTGCATAAATGTCTTCTTTTAAGCAGTGTCTGTTCATATCCTTCACCCACTTTTTGATGGGGTTGTTTGCTTTTTCTTGTAAATTTATTTAAGTTCCTTATAGATTCTGGATATTAGCCCTTTCTCAGATGGATAGATTGCAAAATTTTTCTCCCATTCTGTATGTTGCCTGTTCACTCTGATTATAGTTTCTTTTGCTATGCAGAAGCTCTTTAGTTTAATTAGATCCCATTTGTCAATATTGGCTTTTGGTGCAATTGCTTTTGGCGTTTTAGTCATAAAGTATTTGCCCATGCCTATGTCCTAAATGGTATTGCCTAGGTTTTGTTCCAGGGTTTTTATGGTTTTAGGTCTAACATTTAAATCTTTAATCCATCTTGAGTTAATTTTTGTATAAGGTGTAAGGAAGGGGTCCAGTTTCAGTTTTCTGCATATGGCTAGCCAGTTTTCCCAACACCGTTTATTAAATAGGGAATCCTTTCCCCATTGCTTGTTTTCATCAGGTTTGTCATAGGTCAAATGGTTGTAGATGTGTGGTGCTATTTCTGAGGCCACTGCTCTGTTCCATTGGTCTATATATCTGTTTTTGTACCAGTACCATGCTGTTTTGGTTACCATAGCCTTGTGGTATAGTTTGAAGTCAGGAATCCAACTTCCAAGGGATGTGAAGGACCTCTTCAAGGAGAACTACAAACCACTGCTCAAGGAAATAAGAGAGGACACAAACAAATGGAAAGACAATCCATGCTCATGGATAGGAAGAATCAACATCGTGAAAGTGGCCATGCTGCCCAAAGTAACTTATAGATACAATGCTATTCCCATCAAACTAACATTGACTTTCTTCACAGAATTGGAAAAAGCTACTTTAAAGTTCATATGGAACCAAAAAAAAGCCCGCATTGCCAAGACAATCCTAAGCCAAAAGAACAAAGCTGGAGGCATCACTCTACCTGATTCAAACTATACTACAAGGCTACAGTAACCAAAACAGCATGGTACTGGTACCAAAACAGAGATATAGACCAATGGAACAGAACAGAGCCCTCAGAAATAATACCACACATCTACAACCATCTGACCTTTGACAAACCTGACAAAAACAAGAAATGCGGAAAGGATTCCCTATTTAATAAATGGTGCTGGGAAAACTGGCTAGCCATATGTAGAAAGCTGAAACTGGATCCCTTCCTTACACCTTATACAAAAATTAATTCAAGACAGATTATTAAAGACTTAAATGTTAGACCTAAAGCCATAAAAACCCTAGAAGAAAACCTAGGCAATACCATTCAGGACATAGGCATAGGCAAGGACTTCATGTCTAAAACACCAAAAGCAATGGCAACACAAGCCAAAATTGACAAATGGGATCTAATTAAACTAAAGAGCTTCTGCACAGCAAAAGAAACTACCATCAGAGTGAACAGGCAACTGACAGAATGGGAGAAAATGTTTACAATCTACCCATCTGACAAAGGGCTAATATCCAGAATCTACAAAGAACTTAAACAAATTTACAAGAAAAAATCAAACAACCCCATCAGAAAGTGGGCGAAGGATATGAACAGACACTTCTCAAAAGAAAACATTTAAGCAGCCAACAGACACATGAAACAATGCTCATCATCACTGGCCATTAGAGAAATGAAAATCAAAACCACAGTGAGATACCATCTCACACCAGTTAGAATGGCAATCATTAAAAAGTCAGGAAACAACAGGTGCTGGAGAGGATGTGGAGAAACAGGAACATTTTTACACTGTTGGTGGGACTGTAAATTAGTTCAACCATTGTGGAAGACAGTGTGGTGACTCCTCAAGGATCTAGAACTAGAAATACCATTTGACCCAGCTATCTCATTACTGGGTATATACCCAAAGGATTATAAATCATGCTGCTATAAAGACACATGCACACTTATGTTTATTGCGGCACTATTCACAATAGCAAAGACTTGGAACCAACCCAAATGTCCATCAATGATAGATGGACATATACACCATGGAATACTATGCAGCCATGAAAATGGATGAGTTCATGTCCTTTGTAGGGACATGGATGAAGCTGGATACCAACATTCTGAGCAAACTATCGCAAGGACAGAAAACCGAACACCGCATGTTCTCACTCATAGGTGGGAACTGAACAATGAGAACACTTGGACACCGGGTGGGGAACATCCCACACTGGGGCCTGTCGTGGGGTGGGGGCAGTGGGGAGGGATAGCATTAGGAGATATACCTAATGTAAATGACAAGTTAATGGGTGCAGCACAGCAACGTGGCACATGTATACATTTGTAACAAACCTGCATGTTGTGCACATGTACCCTAGAACTTAAAGTATAATTTAAAAAATTTTAAATAGGTAGAAAGAGCAAAGAACAAAATTGCTTGTAAGGAATAACAGTAGATTCCTCTGGGCTACGTTTTATGACAATTTCTCAATTTCATCTTCCAAATTACTAATTCTCTCTTAAGCATCATCGATCCTTCTAGTCAGCCTTTCTACACATATATTTTTAAATTAATAATATGCCTACTTCCAAGGTCTTTAATTATTTTTAAAGTTACACTATTGACTCATATCTGAGTATACACATTTTACTTATTTCTAAATTTTTTTCTGATTGATGTTCAACAGTTTTCTCAGGTATATATTGCTCTTTTTTTTGTTTATATAATACCTTGATTTCAAGTCATTAGAATCTTCAACCATTTAGTGATTCATGCTTATGTTTTGGGATTCCCAGCTGGCTTGTCCTAGAGTGCTTTATTTTGCTTATGCAATACTTCTCCAGTAAAAATGACACAGGAGCCAACACACAGCCACTGTGATAGGGAAGTACCTAGACATTTGGGCTTTGGGGATTTCTGTTACTCAGGGGATTTTCCAGCAATGCTGGCAATTCCCTGCCTTTATGACCCAACTACAATGAGACTTTTCAGTCTCTGCCTTTTCTGTATTCTTCCAACTCTGGAGGTGAAGCACAAGGTAGTGACATCAAAAAGTTAGCCATGCTTCTTCTTGACTCTTAAAGACTTCCAGCCTAAAGTAGACACAGGAAGGAGGACAGGCAAAGCTTTCACCTTAAAGTTTGGCATGGAATTTTAGATTACTGTAGTGAAGCTCTCCTAATAACTAGAAATTTCCAGGTCACTTTTTTATTTTTAATTATGCAAAATTAAAAGGAAAAGTAGTACACATGAGTCAGGGAAAAGTAGTACACATCAGGTCTGAGGAGACAAAGTTTTAATGTTTGCACCCTGGCTCTCTTTGCTGGTTATATAAACTCTGTGAATGTTGCTTAACTTAGTGACAAGAGGGGAAAACAACCTGACCTGCTTCACTGCTACTCCTGCCACACGTTAATCCTCACTATTTGCCCCTAAGTCCCTGTCTGCCCTTAGTATCCTCCACACTGTGCCCCGCCATTACCCTAGAGCCACTTGTAACTCTTACAGCAGTTTTCTCTGTGATACATCTTGAGCTTCAGTTTTCTTTTATAATCATGTAATACATAAAGATTGAATTGAGAAATCATCATAAACAGAAGATATTGTCCAATGGAAATTTCTGGGAGATGGAATGTTCTATGTTTTATGTCTATGCTCTCCAATTCAGTGGCCACTAGTCACATGTGACAGCTTGAAATGTGGCTAACGCAACTGAATATTTAGTTTTAATTAAAACTTAAATAACCACATGTGGTCACGGCTACTGTATTGGCTGGTGCAAAACAATATGTTATCTTATGATGTAAGAAAGACAGTAGTCAGTTGTCTTAAACTGTTACATAAAACCACGTGTCATAACATGCATTAAAAGAATTATAGATGCATGGAAGAATTCATAAAATCAGCAAAATAATTTAACACCTTCTTTTTCCCTTACCTTCTACACATTTATATTTTACTTCTTTTTAGCCATCTATCCCATTCTAATATCTTTCTATGAATACATTATTCTATTGTGTACAATTTCAACTTACAAGGCACAGACATTCACT
The DNA here is from genome assembly GCF_000001405.40 of Homo sapiens. Taxonomy (NCBI): domain Eukaryota; kingdom Metazoa; phylum Chordata; class Mammalia; order Primates; family Hominidae; genus Homo; species Homo sapiens. The sequence goes on from NC_000012.12 coordinate 31,194,030, forward strand.
TTGAATTCAGAGTCCACAACTAAGATATTTTCTGGTGCATCCACAGTCATTTGAAATTTGGGTAACACTGCCAGTAAAAAAAATATATATATATTATATTATAATGTGTATATTATATATTATTAACATAAATACATATTAACATAAATACATTCATACAAAACAATTGTTTCTCCTTTACAAACCATCAACCTTTGCTTATGTTTGCCATTAATAAACAGTGTGAGGAGGACGTTGAAGTGCCTAAGACTGGATTTTGGAATTGGATAGAAAAATGCATATTTTGAATTCCAAATTCATCACTTCTCAGGTGTTGAACTTGGGAAAGTGTTTCTCAATATCTTCATCTTTAAAATAGTAATAAAGATACTACAATAGAAATTTTATGAAGATTTTAGGAGAAAATATGAAGGGACTAATGGCTAACATATGACTAATGTTAATTCCATTCTTCTCATAAGAAGTGCTTTACATCCCAGAAACTATCATATAAAATAGAATCCAGATACTACAAAAGGAAGATAGATAGCCTAGGTTAACAGAGAATTGCAGGAAGATTATGGGCTGAACTAGGAGATAAAAATCACAGTAGATGGAGAACCCTAAAATAGTAACAGAGGACAAGGAAAGAGGAAAGGAAGAGATACTCACTTGAAAATTCATTATTTAATAATCCTGCCCTTGCAAAATTGGAAAGATTTTATAATTTTTTTATTAATAGGTAATATTTTCATTGCTATTATTTACCATATTCTTCCACAGAGAAGGAGTGATATGTTTTCTTCTCATTGAGCATCTCCACGGTGATTTCATACCATCCGAGGATGGGCTCTGAGATTAACTGGAAGGAGAGTTGTAGAATCCCTCCCACAGACTCCTCATTCACCCACTGTTGTATTCGATTGCCTTCTGGATCCTGAGAATAAGAAAGTGTATTTTTGCATGCTGGATGTTTTTATTCATTATAAAGTTTCAGCAAGGTGTTTCCTACTTAGGTTTCCAACTGACTTAGGATTCAAAACATGAGTGTGTCCTCACATCACCCAAGGAGAATTGGTTACTCTCCTATCTGAGGTCACATAGATGCATATTACAGTACTTAGTATATTTTAGAGCTAGCTGTGATTTTTTTACATTTATTTTCTGTGTCAATCTCTGATTTCTTAAAGGCGAGCCATATTTTATCCCCAGTGCATAAAACATTAAGTGTACATTTATATACATTCAACAACTAAACATTAAATTAAATACAATCATACTTGCCCGTTGTCTATATTATTATTGTCTGTATTAATGGGTGCATGCTAATATGAATCACATGGTGGTGGGGGTGGAAACCTATTTCTGTCCTCTTGAGGCTGTCTACATGAAATTAATAATTCTGCGACAATTTAAATAGACAATCTTCCCTGTGAGCTGCCTTTTGATTTTGAGGTTTAGAGAGATGTTCAAAAAATGAGAAAACAATTCTTCAACTATTAGTTATCTTACCTGAAGGGTGATCACTGGATACTGAAATAAAAATAAAAATAATGTTAATATATGAACTCAAGGTTTTTTTTTCTAGATGAGTGAAGAGGTTAATTATAAATCTATTATTAAGCAAAGAAACATAAACACATTTAGGACAACCCAAACAAATACTGATTTCTGACTGAAAGTTTGAATATCTATTGATTATATTGAAACTCATCTGCCTAGTTTTCAAGAATTTTCATTTACTTCTCTCTCTTTCACAACATACACCCTGCAGTCTCAGTAAGCAACCCTGCCCTTGGGTCTCTCCAACATAATAAAAATGCCCTCTTAGATGAATCATAACTTCCTTATCAACAAATTCGTGGTCAGTCTTCACTCTGACAGTTGCAATGTTTTACACTGCTGGTTGCCTCTTTTTGAAATGCTTCAATTTTGATTTCTGTATCTAGCACTAATTTTTTTTGTCTTAGATTATTGGCCATTCCTATACTCCACCATTTCCTTATCAGACAAGTAAATAAACGTAGACATTTGCCCAAGTTTCCCTTGCAGAGTTTCCTCTCCTTCTTCCTTCTCCTTCCACCTCTCTGTATCTCCTCTCAGTTCTCTCCATGTTTACCACTCTTGCCCCCTCTAAACCTATAGTCAACAGTTTGACTTTCATCTCTTAGTGTTTTCTCTCAGGACCTTAAAACTAACAAGTTGAAATTAAAGACTCCTAGGCCAGAAGCCCTCATGTGAATAGGCTGATGAGAATTTTAAAAATGAGTACATAGGGTCCTTTGCCCACTCCCCAAGTTGCTAAGTGCTCCTTCCCACTAATTGCAGCATTCATTCACTAATAAAACGTAATGTGTCTGGAGATAAGAACAGGATTCATAAACCTTGTCCAGAATTCTTGGAACTGAGAAATATAACAGTTGAATTAAGGGCCTACTTGTTATTCTAAATTCATGGAATTGAATCTTGATGAAATATTGAGATGGTATTGAAGAAAGCTACTGCTGCAACATTAACTCAAGCATTAAGAGAGGTAGAGCTTCTCATGAGATTTCCTCATAGGAAGAAAATGAAGAATATATTACCCAAAGGTGCCATGGGAAGACGTTAACCATTTGGATGAGATTCTAATAATGAGAAATGAACCTAGAGTACTATCCCTTTTTGTTTGCTATTTGTAATACTTCCAATGCAGATGGCTTCAACTGTGTTCAACAAATTTAGTTTTTATTACTTAATTTGTCTTTTTTTTTTAGATTTTTTTTTAAACTCAGCTTGGTCTATTTCAAAAAACTAGTGAACAAGAACCTAGTAAAATCACATTTTCATTGTTCTAAGCTGCTTGATTTTTCTCTAAAAACAATTATTAAAATGAGGCTGATTCTGCTGTAGTCACTAATGACTGTCTGCACTAAATCTTGTATAAACCAGCCAAGAACCAATACAACAACTCCTTCATGTCCCCTTCTGGTTCATACTATCTCTCCCTGTCCATACACAGGGCCTCTTTTTAGAGGACTAGTAGTTCCAGGTCTTAAGATAAGTTTAAAGAAAGATCTGAAACTTCTTGATGCAAATGAAACTTTCTGGAAAAAGTATGTTTGAATATTCTACAAAACACTGACTTAAAGGAAAAGAAAGGCACCATCAGCAATGAAATTGCAGAAAATGAAAGAAAAGACCGATGTAAGATTTGGGCAGAAGAAACTAGGTATATGCTCTATATCTTGGCTCATTTGATAATGAGCCCAGTTGCATCATTACTATATTTTTATTATGTAGTCAAATTTATTATGAATGCCCAAATCTCATAGGCCAGCCATGCATTGAATCTATTTATCTAAATGGAATACTGAACCAGATAATGTCCAGCAATTAGAAACACTGGCTTGCAAAGATAAAACCACATAATCTCTTAGCTGCCATCATTTTTGGAAATGCTACATCAATTTCCATCTCTATACATAAGCACATGCAGTTTGTTGTGCCATGGAAACTCCTTGCCATAAACATTTGGTACAAATGATCTTCTTATCTATGACCCATATTTGAGGGAACAGTCCATTAATCCTGTTCTTATGCAAATGTAGTTATTACTAAAGCAGGGAGTTGGATAATCATATTTGGCCTAATTGACAATAATAAGTCAACATTGGGGGGTGAGAACTAATAAGGGAGTTATGATAATGCTGCAGCTGCTTTGATTTTCAAGAAGACCTTTACTTCCCCATGGTGCTTCCAATCAAGGATGATTGTCAAAGGATTGCAGTAGAAATTCTCACTGCCTTGGTTAAATAGAGGAGTTGCATTCTTAGAAATAGAAGCTTCAACCATGAACCAAGGAGAACAGGAACCACATGCTATCTTACGGAAGTGATTTCGGATTTAGATTACTACAAGGTCTTTGGAGCACTAAAAATTAGATTCCTGCTCTGGAAATTAAAATTAAGCAACAGTCTAGTGAATGTAGCATAACTATAGAAGATGGGGAAAGGAGGTGGATTAAAAGTGACGATGTCTTAAGGATGAAGTACAATTTGGAGGGAGGAAAAGGCACTAACAGAGAAACCATCTGCACAGCTTCTGTAAGCTTCAGAAGCTTCTTCGTAACTGCGCTCAGTTGATAGATTGATCTGAGAGACCACAAAAGAATGCTTAGTTCTAACAGGTTTCTAAACTACATGAAATGAAATTTGTCAGGTATCCTGTTGTAAAGACTGAAGTCCAGGTCATAATTCGTTGTCTTTTGACAGTTTTCACTGTTGATCGCCTTGGTTCTCAGATTGTCGCTAGCTAGATTGTAGTCTTCTGCTGAAATACTGTCTTAGACTACCATCACCATATTAGTCTGGTCTCACTTTCTATTTTATCTGTTTACTATGCTTTTTCATATTTTGTTCATGCCACTATATAGTAGTTAATATATTGCATTATAAATATGAAGCAACAATAAACTGTGCAATGAGGTTTTAGCAATCATAGTTAATATCACACCATATTTTTATTCAAAAAGAAGCATGATGCTGGGTAGATTATGAATATTTGTAGCATTATAATCTCAGATTGTAATGATCAATTTTTTGAAAACTGAATATCTCTCAATTGTGTAAGACTCCTGGCTCAATTTCTTTGCTATGTTATAACCTTTCCTCTGTGCATTAGACTCTTTACTAGACTGTGGATGGATAAGAAATTTTAAAAAAGCAATTTTAAATTAAGGTTTAATGTTTCTGTGCTCTTTGAAGTAGCAGCCACCTTCCCCACCTCTGCCTTCTATAGCTCTCCTTAGCAAGAATCCTAGAAGCCTTCCTTGGACATCCTCTTGTGTCAAGCACATATACTCTTCCCCCTCATAAGCACCTCCCACGCCAGCATGCATGCTCTCGTAATGTTTGTTCCACCGTTGTTGGTGCCAGCCCAAACTGTACAGCCATGCCCTGTCTTTCTTGTCTAGTCCTTCTTTCTCTGGTGCCTAAATACTGACCTGAATGCCCTCTTTTGTGAAGTGAGGGAGGGAGGCAAAGGGTCAGGGGAAGAGGAGTGGAAGGCTGGGGATAGCACAATGCATGCAGTGCATTCCTCCATCTCCAGCACATATCCCTCACCTCCCTCTGCTTGTGTTGTTCTGGGATCACAGTGTGTTGGTGCCTAAGCAGGCTCTGATTACTGTGATTCCCAGTTCATCCACGACTGCCTCCTCAAGCCATGATCCCCACATCTGTAGTGACTCCTCATGGGTGTTACTTAACTACATGAAAATGCCTCTTTAGTTCTATATTCAGGGATTTCCTTTAACTCTTCTATTCACTGCAGCTTCTTTTCCTTCCTTTTTTTTTCTTTTATTATATCACATTTTATTTTATTTTTAATTATTATACTTTAAGTTCTAGGGTACTTGTGCACAACGTGCAGGTTTGTTACATATGTATACATGTGCCATGTTTCTGTGCTGCACCCATTAACTCGTCATTTACATTAGGTATTTCTCCTAGTGCTATCCCTCCCCCTCTCCCCACTGCACGACAGGCCTTGTTGTGTGATGTTCCCCACCCTGTGTCCAAGTGTTCTCATTGTTCAATTCCCACCTATAAGTGAGAACATGTGGTGTTTGGTTTTCTGTCCTTGCAATAGTTTTCTCAGAATGACGGTTTCCAGCTTCATCCATGTCCCTGCAAAGGACATGAATTCATCCTTTTTTATGGCTGCATAGTATTCCATGGTGTATATGTGCCACATTTTCTTCATTCGATCTATCATTGATGGACATTTGGGTTTCTTTACTCCAAATAAGTCTATCTACTTCTCATTTTACGGCATGGTTTTTAAATTAATTCTACCTCAGTGCTTTTTTATGTACCATTCATCTCATCAGAAATGTCTATCTTCTGACTGCTGTAATCTGTATTCATCAACTCCTTCTGTACCCAGGAGGAGAGAGGAGGCTTTTCAGCTTAATTCAACATCATGCTGATCATTCTATTACTTGGGCAATTCTCTAGTCACTAGGGGTATCTCATTACATGTTCATGACATACTTTGTTGCTCTTTTGTTTCTATTTCAACCATAAGCTTGTAAGTTTGTGTAAATTAAATTCAAAATCCCCAAATATGTGATTAGAATGTTATTAGAATAATACGGATATTATTAGAATATTATTAGAATAATATGGATATTATTAGAATAGAATAAGGTGCTCTTTAAAAATACACTTTCTGAGGCTCCCCACCCCAGACTCATGGAAATGAAATCTCTAACATTTAGGCTATGTAATCTATATTTTTATTTTGTATTTTTAAGCAGGTTCTCTAATAAACTTTAATACAATAAAATTTCTGAGCTTGTATTGTGTACCATCAATTCAAATATCATATAAGTGACATTAGTTGAGGGTAACCTGATTTAGGTACACTCACCTTTCTGTCCAGGCTTGTAGGTGGGTTTATCAGTCTGTACAAAGACCACATTCTCTCTGGATCTGATTGCCACAGATCTCCTCTCTTCCAGGTTGAGAGTGGCTCCTTTAGCAGAAAATGTAATAAATGCCAGTGGGTCAGATCTGGCCTGAGGAACCTAGGGAACAAATAAATACTCCATGAAACTGATTTTTTGTTAAGAAATCTCTATCACTGTGTGTTGGTATCACTAAAAGTTTTAATTCATAATTTGTCATATCTATTTCTTCAATAACCAACCTTGTTTATTTCTCTTGCTTTGTCACTTCCTTATCTCACCATTTAAATGGATTCTTTTGCCTTTCTTAAAACTTCCCTTTTCTGCACAAGAGTCATTCTTTCTATATGTCTTATTCCCTTCAACAATTTTCTATCATAAAATCAAATGTTTTGGCTCTTGCCCTTGTTACCATTTATGACTGTACTTAACATCATCTCATACTGAGGACTATATTATTCTTTTAAAAATTAAAATAACTTTACACATACAGTCAAATAGCCTGATCTCTGTCCCTAAAAAATCAGTTATGTGGGTGGTGTTCATGCACCTGTAATATTCTTTTCTATATTAAGCAGAAAGAAGTATTTACCTCAAAGCTGATGCATTTGAAGAAATTTTCTCCAGTAACATTTTCTTCAAATATTTTGGTCTGGACCTCACCATAGTTGAGGGAGACCGTCAAAACAACAGATTCAGTGAGATTAAAAAGCTGGGCACAAGCTTTATCCAAAGAGCCTTCTTGTAGAACAGAAGGAATCAGCAGAACATACTGCCTACAAAATTCAAGCAAGACCATTACAATTGAATGTGTGATTAGTTACTTAGCAATTATTGTGTTAATTGAAGAATTTTTGAGTTTAAGAGAAGTATGTTATTTTTAAATGTTAGAAATACATCAAATGGCTAAATCTGTATGAAACAGAAAGATGTTGGCATATGAATTAAATTTTTAAAAGTCAAAAAGGAAATCCCAATTAAAAATCAGCAGGTAATTTGTCATTAGTTCTATAAAGGTTAACATCATCAGTGTTCTTGTACAATGCTTTTGCCCCCAAACTGACACAGCACATTCTGTTTTATATTTGCCTACTGTTTGTCCAGTTCCTTCCCCAGCAGCTGTCAGACACCTCTTCCTCAACATAAATATAGCACTGTTACAGCTCTTACTCAGCATTCTGGATATCTACGAGGCAGAGATGATGATGCCAACCAAATTTGAAATTTACTAGTCCCATGAGCATATTTTGGGTTATATTGTAAAATGATAAAATTATTTAAAATCAAATCACTGCAATAAAAATGTAATGTTTAATTATTATTATTATTATTATTTATTTTTTTTTTTTCTAGACAGAGTCTCCCTCTGTCGCCCAGGCTGGAGTGCCCAGTGGCACGATCTTGCCTCACTGCAACCTCCGCCTCCCAGGTTTAAGCGATTCTCCAGTCTCAGACTCCAGAGTAGCTGGGATTACAGGCTCATGCTACCACACCCGGCTAATTTTTGTATTTTTAGTAAAGATGGGGTTTCATTTCACTATGTTGGCCAGGCTGGTCTTGAACTCCTGACCTCAGGTGATCCGCCCATCTCAGCCTCCCAAAGTGCTGGGATTGCAGGCGTAAGCCACTGTGCCCAGCCTGAATTTTTAATACCAAGCTCTATTTGCCTTCCATGTGAAATAATAAACTGTGTAATCACTGACAAGTTTGGAGACTGAGAAAGAGACAGATGAAAGAGAAAAACACCCAGATGTATTATCTTCCACATCATGATCCAATGAGATGAAGAAAAAGTCAATATGCCGTGTCTGCTAGATCCACATACAGGTCAGTGTTCTAGGAGCCCAGACGTTCTCACTAGTCAGGGAAGCCGAGTATGGGACTATATATCCATGCAGGAGATTTTGCCAGTATTTCCTGAGTCATTCTTAAAGTTTAAGTCATGTTTAAATTTTAGCCATCTCCCAGTGTGTTACATGTCATTAGGTGTGTTATCTAATTTACAAAACAGTCTTGCATCAGCATTTCCTAGACATAATTTACAATGCCTATGAGTGAAAATTTCAAGAACAAATTAAATCCCATTTCAGTAAATTCAATCATTGTAAATTAATTTGTATCTCACTATTATTTCTTGGTTGAGAGCTAAATCTATTTTGAGAACTCAGTACCAATTTCTGGTTGGCAATGCTCTGTATAGTTATTACAATGGAAGCAATGTAAAAATAACAAAGGCTTAAGGAAGCTCTAATTGAAAAAAAATTAAATATTACCATGTCTTTTTTATTACTAATTGTTGATGTTGTATTTTCCATACGACATATTTTTATATAAAAGTATCCTGGTAGGAAAGTTTATTGAAGCATTACTTTTTCTTTTTTTGCATTTCATTTTCTTCTTTTCCTTTACCAAAATTATTGCCAGGTATTTTGTGTTTCTTTGTCTTTAGAGTTTTGACTAAATAAGATGCTCTTAGAAGACAATCGCACGATTGCTGTGACTTTATCAAGTATCACAAAGTGGTTTCATTGGGCTCAGCCTCTGACATTGCCCTTTTACTGAAAACAGCAGGAAATCTATTTACCAACTGTTTTTTCCTAAAATTCAAGTTAATTATATCATATCCTCTTTAAAAATCCTTAATGGTCCACTATTACCTACAAGATAAATTCCAAACTCTTTAGAAAAAAAAGTTTCTTAAGGCTCTTATCTACCTATAGCCCCCACTGCTTGCCCACAGACGTTCTGCTTTCTTCCCTGAAAACACCAGCAATGTGCCACACCCTTTCATCTCTACATGTGTATTTGTGGGCTCAGTCTTCTGTCTAGAACCTCTCTTTATATGACTTCCTGTCTACCAGGTACATATATCCTCCTTGTTCTTTTGTGATTCGGTTCAAACTTTCATAATTCCCAAGCTGAAGTTAGTTGTTGCTGCTTTTAGCTCCCATAACACAGGTACTCATCTCTATTACAGGATGTCATGTCACACTACAAATATTTAGTTTTTATGTAATACATGCCACTTGGCTGTGGGAATCTCAGAGATACAGCCTGCATGTTTTATTCATTGTTGAATTTCCAATGGGTGGTATATGAATGCAAGCACTTCTTGAGTCAATCATGACTTTTAGTCAGTCTCAGGTTTTCCATAGAATCTTGTGTCTGTGTACAACTAACCATATTCTTGGGGAGCAAAATAGGAGAATATTAACCCTCCCAGGAGGAGAGCTTCTTTCCATTCACTTCTTTCCATTCAACCCATCCTATGCTGCATTTGAAGTAAGCACTCTTGACTCCCAGACTTTTAAAGCAAACCCATTATTGGGGTGCTAGCTTTCTATCCAGAGGTTTTACACAGGTTTTGTAATGCAGTGAGAAGCAGACGCATCTTTCTGACTAATAATGTCTTCTGCTGGTTTCCCACTGCTATATATTACAGAGAACTAGAAAAGATTAAAGCCAGTATCTGTATTTAGGGTATGGTCAACTTAATGAGACATTAGCTTTTATTTTATTGTTACTCTATTTTCACATAACCCTTTCTAAAAAGCCTGTTATCATGCACTTCTTTACCTATGAAATTTTGGCCAAATCTAAAGACAATTGCCCTTAATCATTTGACTAAGACAATGGACTTTATGCTTTCAATCTACTCCTTCCTCTTTATATCCCAGTTGGCTAACAGTCTCAGATTAGTGACTACTTGTGTTGTTCTTTGTGAAAAGCAACACCCAAACCTACCTCTCTTTATGTTTGCCTGTTACTGATTCCTTGGGGTTTCGTTACCCCTTGCTACAACACTCATTCCAAAGTGTGAATCTAAAATGATCACTTACTATTTGAGGAACACAGTCAGGCATGTACTTACATATAGAGCATCTTTACTAATTAAAATGCAAAATATAAATCATACCAATAGTAGGGCACATCTGGAGATCAAATGCTTTCTCAGACTTTATTAACCCATTACAATTTAGAAATCCAAATCTAACATCGATAACAGGAAAGTTAATATAAGAAATTTCCAAAAGACAAATTAGTACAAATGTTTGAATTTGTTGAGTAGAAGGTGGATCTTGCAGTGCACTTATCTTTTATAAGGAGAATTAAATTCATCTTTATAAACACACATACAATCTCATCTATCTGATTTGATTGAAGAAATCATAACTATTAAATATTTGAATAATACCCCTCTGATAAATAAATATATGAGCATACTACACTGACTTGCACATATGAGAATTTTCTAGATTGCCAGTTAGCACCTAAAATTTGGAGTAAATGCCCTAACCTTCTATCTGGGACTCATGTTTAGAATTATGATTTATTTTCTTATTCCATGGAATTATAATACATATGGAGTAATTCTATTAATATTATTTATACTTGCCTCCAACTCTCTAAGTTACATCTGACTTAAGGTATGATTGTTCATTTTTTTAGATTTTCCCCCAGATCTCAAAAGTGAACTTTGTACATAAACATTATCCAAATTGAGAGATAGATATAAATATAGACCTCCCTAATACACCTTCTAAATTTGGTAAAAGTCTTCTAACTGTTTAAATGGGAAACAGTAAGAATAACAGAACACATATACACATGAACACAGACATACGTAAGTTTTTTACAGTACAATAACAATGTTATTTGCATACAGGATACAGAGCAGTTGTTTCTAATTCTCAGTCTACGCATGGGAAATCCCCTTCTACTGTGGGAAAAGATTTCATCATTTACTAGACAAGAAGGATCTCATTCATAAAGTTAAGGGTGTGGAGAGAGTGGGAAAAATGATGGTGTGGGTTGTCTGTTAGGCAAACTGGGAATGCCGTTTCCAGCATATGAAAAAAATCCCTCTTTATTCACATACATTCCAATGTTCACTTCCTCATCCTGTAAAGCAGAGATGTGTTTCATTACAACTATAAAAGTGCAATGCTGGGCTAAAGCCTCCTTACCATTACTACAAAAAAGGATTCTAAACAAAATCTAAATCAATGCTTCTAACTTTAAGATCATTGCTCTAATGTTTTAAAAAAATGCATCTGGGATGCCTTTTATTATAATTTTTTAACAGCAGCAATTTATTTTATGAAATTAAAAAAATGAGTTCAGTAATTGTCAAAATAAAACACAAGTAAGACATAAGTCCAAGTCTGAGTATATTGTGAATACTTTGGAATAATGTTATTAATAAACATTGTCTGCTTTTATGGCAGTGAATATTCATATATTTAATATAAGAAAACATTTTATATTCAAGATGCCTTTCCCTACAATGCAAAGTAACTGAAGTTTATAGGTAATATATACTATTAAAAAATAAAAATTAATATATACTCATGAAAAGTAAAAAGAAAAATAAGAAAAAGAATAAATTATGCTTCCAAGCTTAGTGAAGATCTATTCACTCTTCCAAAGTCATTTTCAGAATATAACTTCTCTCCTGTGTTTTCACCACCTTTCTTGCTTCACTTTCTTTAAAGTATGAATCTTTAGGTAGTATTGATCATTTTTGATATTAAGAAAATACAAAGCTTCTGGAAATAATTCAAATCATTTTGCAACTTTTGGCTGTGATCACTTTGCAAAGCATGCAGTGTTTCTTCGTAGCCAATTGATGAAGGGTTTAGGGAAATTTGCCAGGAACTTACCATGAGTCATGGGACAAATGGGAACCCGTCATTCCCTCTGCAAAACCTGTTCTTGAGAAGCCCTTTGTCCAGAGCCTCAGTAGGCAGCTGGTTCATACCAACCAATGGTAAGCAATGCTCATCTGTTCTCTCCCTTAAGGCCTCTCTTTGTGTAAAGACCCACAAGCATAAGTATCTGTGGTGGGGCTGTGTCATGAGGGCAGGCTCACAGTGCTCTCCTCTGAGTTACCACTACTGAACATAATCAGGGTGTGTAAACTTGTTTTATTTGGCATTAAAGCCGTTACAACAAGTTATAAACATTTCCAGAGCTTCTTACTAGTGGAAGCAGAGGTAGTCTCTCAGGCAGAGTGTGGTTAGGACCGAATGCACTCTGTTGGGAAAGGCCTGTGGTAAATGCAACACCTTGGCACAAGAAAGTTATACTTTTGTTGTAGTGTAAACCAAAAATAAAATTCTAAGCCCCCCAACCAATAGAATGAACCCCTTCTGTCAGCCAAGGACATCCTACAGTAAATCTGAAACACTAGTTCAGGCCATGATAGGAGTGGGAGGTCAGATGTATCTGATTACACCTTCCCCCTTTGGAATACAGGCACTGCTGATCAGCATTAACATCAAAACAGAGAGCTTAAGACAAAATACTCTTTGTAGCAATAAGACATCAACATGACAGATAACAGGGCCTAAAAGAAATTGAAGTATTTTACCCTCAAATATATTTCTTTCTTTTTTTTACTCGAACATGATCATTTTTTAAAAATTTTACTTTAACTTCTGGTATAATGTGCAGAATGTTCAGGTTTATTGCATAGGTATATATGTGCCATGGTGGTTTGCTGCACCTATCAATCTGCCATCCAGGTTTTAAGCCCCGCACCCACAATATATTTCTTTGACATATTTTGAAATGGATCTGCACAGTTGTCTTTTGTGGGGAAAATCTACATTCTACAGAGAATCGCCATCCTTTTCCAGGTCATTTTCCTGATCCAGGAGAGACTTAACTAAGAGTTTGGCACCTTTTTAAGTCTGATAAGAGACATTTACAATCTGTTCTCTCTGAAGCCTGCTACGCAGAGGCTTCATCTGCATAATAAGAATCTTGGTCTCCAAAACCCGTTATCTTAACCCAGACACTTCCTCCTATCGATTCCAGCTCTTTAGATAAACTATGTTAATCAAGTGCCAATCAGAAAATCTTTGAATCCACCTAGGACCTGGAAGCACAGTTCCCTGCCCCCTTTGAGCTGTCCTGCCTTTCTAGACCTAACCAACGTGTACCACAAATGTATC